>NC_000005.10:180575585-180726030 GCF_000001405.40 Homo sapiens
GACTAAGTCATTTTAGTATGTCAAGCAAGATAAAAATTACATCATACCGTCTATTTTGCCCATAGTGCCATTTAGAGATGAAAACCAGCTTTAACTTTGCAAAGTGAACATGTACATGGTCTGCTCTCATTTATTCATTCTTCTCTCAAAAGTCAAATGAATGCAGAGGGAGCTTGGTCAAACTGCTTTTGTTTCAACTGCAGGCAGGGGAGCAAAAGGACGCCATGTGAGCATTAGGAAAAAAAATACTCACTCTTACTAACAATTTTTATACAGAAAATGAGTCATTTTGGAAATGATTCTTATGTTTTTTTTTTTTCTCCTTTTAGAAAATTCTCCAAAAGGTTTTGATGTTGAATCTTGGTCTTGGACCTGTTTTTTCCTTTGAGGGTTTTTTGTTTTTTGTTTTTTCTAGGATTTCATTGTGATGTTTTGGTTTTGTTTTTTGCTTTTTGTTTAAGTTGTGCTGACACCAAACACATCCAGTTTATAATCAGTACATTGGAAAGCTGGTATTGATGTAGAACCAGTGCATAACTTTTTATGGGGTTTTGTTATTGGTTTTTTTTTGTAAAGTGTGAATAAAAGGTATGTTTACTCATTTTTCCTGAACACTGTGTTGGTAATGTGCATCATGACAATTTCCAGTGAAGGTGAGCTGGAGCTGGTTGGACTAATGAGACTGAGGAAGCAGCTTTTCCTACGATCTGCATTATGTAATCACAGGTCCAGAGAGCTTTATGGAAGCGGGAGAGGAGGAGCACTTACTCATGTTGTATTTGTTAATGGAGGATGTCATCTTTTCATAGATGCTGGAACTAGAGTGCACTTGTTAGATGCTAAAGGTTTGAGCTTTACACAAAATGTCTTCATCTGTATTTGTTATTGTCTACAATATATTTGAATTTGGGGCAGCATATTAAGATGTAATGGCCTGTTATGTCTTGAAAATACTTGTTTTGCCTCTTCCAGGCATACTGCATTCTGTGGATCAGTTTGAACAGCTTCTCCACCTTATTTGGACAGTGATAAATTGAACCAAGAGTGTAGATTTACAAGTGTAACCTTCAAAAGAGGAAGAACTATTTGGGGTCTGTAGGTAATGAACAGTCACACCAAAATAGACTATGATGCTTTTGTTAAGAAAGGTTTCATGTTTTAGATATTTTCCGTGTCCTAAATAATTTTCAATAATCTATAATCCCTAAAATGCAATAAAAACTAGTATGTTTTCACGGTGTATATTTTTTTTCAAAAATTCTGTAACAAATATATTTAATGTGTTGCCATAATGTCATTTCAGTATTTTTGCTGGATAAATCCATTTTAGAAATGTCTTACAAAAAGTTTAGGGCATGTTTTCTGTTTTAAAGACCAGAAGTTTGAAGGCACCCAAATCCTTGTCGCCAATCTCCTGAAGTACAGCTTTACCATATTAGTGGTCATTATTTATGCTTTGAGAGTTTCAATATTGTTCGTCAAGTTAACTTATGGCATAATTTAAGCTAAAGTTGTAGAAATGAATTGTTGAGTGCAACTTTCATAGTCCCAAAGATAGGCAGAGAACATCTCCAGAAATGTGTGTGTGTGTGTGTGTGTGTGTGTGTGTGTTTAATATGATTTAGTGACAACCAGGAAAACTTACTTGGGATTATTAGCACTTTCAAACTTAGGGACATTATTAAATTGGATGGAATGCACTTCTAAATGTTTAAATTAAAATTTCAAAGCTCTTTCGAGATTCAGGTTCTCAATAATAATATTCAAGTTTTAGAGTTTCACTTTGTACTATTTAAATTTATGGAACTAGTTTCCATACTGACTTGTAAGGTTTTGGGGTCATATATAAGGACTAAAGCCAAGCTAGGCAAAACAATGACAGCACCGTTTTTTCAGTGAAGCTCTCAGAATGTCCAGTACAGATGTTGCAGATAATTCCAAGAACTCCTTCAGCAGGTGTTCTTCACCATTCGTAAACAGTATTTTAAGATGTTCACTTTGCTCTTCTTTTTGGTTACATACATTTTAATAACTGGTATGTTGAAGTAGTGTCTAAAAGTATCTAGTCTTTATTCACAGTACATTATATTGTGTGATGCACTGGACTAACTCTTGTTTACCATTCATGTAACAAAACCCAGCACATTATCTGCACTATAAGCTCAAAGAATGTCACATCCGCCCAGACAGCTCTTTGATGAGGGTGATGGGAACTGAATAAACCATACGGACTGGCAGTAACAAGGGCTTTTACTGTTCTGTTCAGTGGAACCTTCTTGGTCAAATTGTAATTAGCTAGCATTATATTTATATACAGGGTCTTTTTTCTTTACCGATGTATTTTCCTACTCATAGCCAACCAATAAATTCAGTATCTGTTTCAAATATTTTAGAAGTGTAGTTTGTATAGCTGTAGTACTGAGGTTTGAGGAAAAATAAATGTTGATCAGCAGACCACGTATTTAAAATTCTGAATCTTCTGGGACAGGGTTGTAACTCAGCCTTCCAAAGGGAAGAGTGCAGGGGGACGGGGCCATGATATGGGGAAATGGTGTAAACTAATGTATTTCTTTATTGGCTGTTATTCTGTATAACACTCATATCTTTGCCAAAGTTCAATTTTATATTTAGGCAACTGATGGTCCTTTTGCATTTAGGATTTTCGTTGTTGTTACCTTATACCTCATGATATAAGGAATGGGCTCATGTGTCTTCCGTCTTTTGGAAGGAGGTTGACATATTTTAAATAAATGCTTTTAAATACAGTAGCAAACATTGTGTTGGGGTTATAATAATTCATTAAATGTCTTGTTGCCTGTATTTTGTTGTATGTGTAAACTCTAAAAACGTGTGACTTCCTAAGTCTTCCGATGTCACCTTACAATTGAGAAAACAACATGAGTTCCTTTGCTTTTAGAACGACTTCCATAGCAGACGTACATTTTTATGTACATGTGGGAAAAACCATGCAAAATCTGGACAGTTTAGATAATATTTCCTTTGATCTCCAGTTTTTAAAGTAGGCATGTTCTACTTAATCCTTAATACAGTGATGCACATTAGGGGGATGTATGCTGAGAAATGCATCCTTAGGTGATTTTGCCATTGTGTGAACATCAGATTGTATTTACATAAACTAAATGGTGTAGCCTATTACACATCTCGGCTGTGTGCTTAGCCTGTTGCTCCAAGGCTAGAAACCTGTGCAGCATGTTACTGTATTGAACACTGTAAGCAGTTGTAAGACAATGGTAAATATTTGTGTATCTAAACATGGAAAAGACAGAGTAGGCTGGGTGCGGTGGCTCACACCTGTAGTCCCAGCACTTTGGGAGGCTGAGGCAGGTGGATCACGAGGTCAGGAGATCAAGACCATCCTGGCTAACACGGTGAAACCCCGTCTCTACTGAAAATACAAAAAATTAGCCGGGTGTGGTGGCAGGCACCTGTAGACCCAGCTACTCAGGAGGCTGAGGCAGGAGAATGGTGTGAAACCTGGAGGCGGAGCTTTCAGTGAGCCAAGATCGCACCGTTGCACTCCAGCCTGGGCGACAGAGCGAGACTCCGTCTCAAAAAAAAAAAAAAAAGTGAAAATACAGTATAAAAAGTGGTATGTCTGAGGCTGGGCACAGTGGCTCACGCCTGTAATCTCGTTTTGGGAGGCCGAGGTGGGCGGATCACTTGAGGCCAGGAGTTCAAGACCAGACTGCGCATCATGGCGAAACCCCATCTCTATAAAACATAGAACAATTAGCTGGGCGTGGTGAGACGCCTGTGGTCCCAGCTACTTAAGAGGCTGAGGTGGGAGAATTGCTTGAGCCCAGGAGGTGGAGGTTTCAGTGAGGAGATTGTGCCACTACACTCCAGCCTCAATGACAAAGTGAGACTCTCAAAAAAAAAAAAAAAGATACCTGAATAGGCAGCTCTAATATATCTTATGGACCATCCTCATATATGTGGTCCATCTTTGACCAAAATGTCATTATGCACAGTGCATGACTGTATGTAGTTTTACCTCTATGATAAGTTTTTGTTCCTCCATATAATTGTCAAAAAAGTAAGTATAAAGTTAGGTTGATTGTAGTGGCTCATGCCTGTAATCCCAGCACTTTGGGAGGCCAAGGTGGGCGGATCAGTTGAGCCCAGAGGTTCAAGACCAGCCTGGGCAATATGGCAAAACCCCACCTCTACAAAAAATTCAAAAATTAGCCGGGCATGGTTGTGCATGCCTATTGTTCCAGCCACTCGGGAAGCTGAGACAGGAGGATCGCTTGAGCCGGGAGGCTAAGGTTGCAGTGAGCCCAGATGGCACCACTGCACTCCAGCCTGGGTGACAGAGCAAGACCCTGTCTTAAAAAAAAACAAGTTAATGAAGTATGTGCCATGTTACTTGATAAATTCCAATTAATGTTCTTTAAAAGAACAAGTACCTAAAGAAACGTGAACTGAAATATATTTAGAATAAAGTTTTTAGGTTTTTAGATAACGAGATAACAATATCTACCGAGAGTTCCCTTTTTAGACTATTATTTAGGTATTCAAATTGATTCTAAAATAAGCTTTTGGCTGGGCGCGGTGGCTCATGCCTGTAATCCCAGCACTTTGGGAGGCTGAGGCGGGTGGATCACGAGGTCAGGAGATCGAGACCATCCTGGCTAACAGTGAAACCCTGTCTCTACTAAAAGTACAAAAAATTAGCCGAGCGTGGTGGTGGGTGCCTGTAGTCCCAGCTACTCGGGAGGCTGAGGCAGGAGAATGGCATGAACCCGAGAGGCAGAGGTTGCAGTGAGCCGGGATCGCACCAGTGCACTCCAGCCCAGGCAACAGAGCAAGACTGTCTCAAAAAAAAAAAAAAAAAAAAAAAAAATCTTTTACACATATTATAAAGATAATTTTAACATAATGAGTGGTTATATGTTAGAAGAAACTTGTAGAAGATAGTTTTCTACTAGAATTTTAGGATAATTTGAGAAATGTTTTTGTAAGTAAATTTCCCCTGAATAATATTTTAAATAGATTGTTACATAAATGAATCTAACCAGCTAGTCTATAGCTAGGGGTTGGGAGGACTGCTGGATTGCAAAGTAGTTTGAAAACGAGTTTCTACAGTTTTAGCACATTTAACATTTTTAATCAAATGAACAAGGAAATGTCAGTTTTCTCATTTTCTTTGAATCACAAACTTCAGATCACTCTAATCTACCGAAAAGCTATTAAATGAGTTTGGTCTGTTACAAGAAATTTTGCTTGCTCTATCAAGTGCGACCTGAGGCAGGCTTCAAGAGCTTTAATTGCCGGATACGTTCCAGCTTACCAGCAAAGGGAATCTAAGCTGCTGGGCTTACAGAGTTACCCACTAGTAAGTTGCCTAAGCTTACTTAAAATTGAGAGATTTACAATTGTCAGACTCTGTGCTTAGTTTGGAAATAAAGATTTATAGGCATAATCCTTGACTTCCAAGTTGTTCGTTGACCTTATATCTAGTGCATTGGATGCTGAAGATGTAATAGGTGTGGAGGAAGAAACTTGGGCTACTGGGAAGGTTGCTGTAGCAGCACTGTGCAGGATGCATGAAAAGGGGAGATGAATACTTGGTGTCAGACTAGTCAGCTGGTTTCTGGTGTGGTCCAGTTGACAGCTAAGCTGAGGAGGGCTTGCAGAGCAGTAAGCCTAGAAAGGAAAGGGAATTTTGAAATGTTTAGGAAAGGGAAGTAATAATCTCAATTCCTGCCTCGTGTGGATGAAAAGACAGATAAATGAGTTTTGTCCAGTCAGTGCTTTCATTATGTAAACCCTGATTCAAAATCTTATGTCTGCCACCAAGGCCCCCATTTTTCCTTCACCCATCTGACAAAAGTATTTAGTTGAAGAATCTTGTTTCTCAAGCTGGATTTTACTTCATTCCCCATTATCATTTATTCAGATTTTAGTCTGCAGGAGAAATCCATTGTGCCCCTACTAAACAGCCATTAGTTCCAGAAAATGATAAAAGGTAGCATTTGATGCTAAATTAATTCTTTTAGCCTGTTTCCCTTTGGCTTTTTCTATTACTGAAAATAGTTTAAATGTAAAAAGACTGCCTTTCTGAGGTTGCTGGTAAGACCAAGCATTGGGAGGTATTTAAGTAGAGCAACATACAAGCAGCGAAGGGAGGGATCCAAGAATTCTCAGCTCTGCGAAGCTCCCCTCATGCAAAGGACTCGCGCTGTGTGTTGTTCAGTGTGGTGGCCTCTAGCCATGTGTGGCTTTTGAGCATTTGAAATACGGCTGTTGTGACTGGTACTGAAAAATATATTTTTTTTTTGTCAAGCAAAACAATGATTTTTATAGGATCACATTTATCTTTTAATTGTTGCATTGTGTAAGAGAACCATTGCCTTGCTTGCTTGTATTACACATAAACACATTGCCAGATGATATCAAAGAATTGACTTCATTCTAACAGTATTTTGCTACTAACCAAAGTAACATTATAGTGTTTATCTAAATGTTATATGCAGTTACTGTGCCTATGTAAATCCTAATTAGTAGTTAAAGTGAGATGTATGTTCTTATTTTTCTAATTTAAAAAATATAGACGGGGCCAGGTGCGGTGGCTCACGCCTGTAATCCCAGCACTTTCGGAGGCCGAGGCAGGTGGATCACGAGGTCAGGAGATCGAGACCATCCTGCCCAACATGGTGAAACCCCGTCTCTACTAAAAATACAAAAATTAGCCAGGAGTGGTGGTGGGCACCTTAGTCCCAGCTACTCGAGAGGCTGAGGCAAGAGAATCAGGTGAACCTGAGAGGCAGAGGTTGCAGTGAGCCGATACCGTGCCAATGCACTCCAGACTGGCAACAGAGGGAGACTCCATCTCAAATATATATATATATGTGTGTGTGTGTGTGTGTGTGTATATATACACACACACACACATATATACCTGTATGCACATATATATACACATGTACACATATATATACACAAATATATATACATACAAATTATTAAATTTAAAATCAGTGGTGGCTCAAGCCTGTGTAATCCCAGCACTTTGGGAGCCCGAGGCGAGTGGATCTCCTGAGGTCAGCAGTTTAAGACCAGCCTGGCCAACATGGTGAAACCCCATCTCTACTAAAAATACAGAAATCAGCCCAGAGTGCTGGCAGGCGCCTGTAATTCCAGGTACTCAGGAGGCTGAGGCAGGAGAATTGCTTGAACCCGCGAGGTGGAGGTTGCAGTGAGCCAGGACCGTGCCACTGCACTCCAGCCTGGGCGACAAGAGCGAGAAAAAAAAAAAAAAAGTTTAAAAATCATGTATTTGCTAATGATTATTTGCTGAATTGTGAAGGAGTTTTAATGATTCATTGTCCTATTGATTCCAATTTAAGATTCTTTTGCAACAAAAGGAATGCTAACGTGTATGCAATAATCTAAAGCAGAAAATGTCAGAGTCTGTGGCGCACATTTTCTCACCAATATCACACTGAATATGAATGAACTAAAGTTGAAGCTCCAAGGAAGGGAAAAGCTTATTTGTGATGTTCACAGACAGGTACAAGAATTTATGTTGAAATCGAAACTTTATAATGCAAATCCAGAATATGGCTTTGACACATTTTCTAACATTTAAAATTTTAATTGTAATTTAACATTTTATAAATTGCAAAAACTACAAGTAAAATTTGAAGAACACTGTTGATACATAGATAAATTTAGAGTAGCTGCCAAGCGTGGTGGCTCACATCTGTAATCCCAGCACTTGGGGAGGGCAAGGCAGAAGGACTGCTCGAGGTTGGGAGTTTAAGACCAGCCTGAGCAATACAGGGAGACCCTGTCTCAGAAAAATAAAATTTAGAGTTTTTTAAATTATGCATTACCCCTTTGAATTTGATGTTCATATTCTAGAGTCAATGCAAGTATTCATGAGTACTTAGAGAGAAACAAATAGGTTTGCTACAAAGTTCAGTAGATTCCTATAAAACAGAAATAGCAGGTTTGTTGATATGGGTCCAGAAATGTTTTTAAATGATTTTGGGGATTTGATTCAATTATAAAACAAGTATAATTGTTGCAACTTTGGTATGTGAATCAATTTTTAAGATTCAACTATATGATATTTATAGGAGATGCACTTTAGATGTAAAGGTTACAAATAGGCTGAGAGTACAAGGATGGAAGAAGATGTCATGCAAACAGGAACTATAAAAATTGGAGCTATCCTAACGTCAGACAAAATAGACTAGGAAACAAAAAATGTTCCTAGAGATGAAGGATATATCTTCTAATGATGAACAACAGCAAACAACAAAGCCCCAAACTACAGGAAGCAAAAGCTGACAGATTGGAAGGGAGAAATTGACAATTCAGCAATAATAAATGGAAATTTCAGTACCTTTCTCTCAATAGAACAACTAGGCAGAAATCGATGTTAATAGGAAACACCAACTGAACCTGATAGAGAAGTAAAACAATACCAGAATATACATTTCTCCCAGGTGTACATGGAATATTCTCTAGGGCAGATCATATGGGATGCTATAAAACAAGCCATAATAAGCTCAAAAGGATTGAAAACATACCAAATATATTATCCAATCAATGAAGTGAAACCAGGGAAGTTTGAAAATATTTTGAAATAAATGAAAAGACAATATACCAAAACATGGGAAGCAGTGAAAGCAATACTTAAATTTATAAACACATTTTAAAAGAAGATTTTGGGGCCAGGCGCGGTGGTTCACGCCTGTAATCCCAGCACTTTGGGAGGCTGAGGCAGGCGGGTCACGAGGTCAGGAGATCGAGACCATCCTGGCTAACATGGTGAAACCTCGTCTCTACTAAAAATACGAAAAAAAAAATCATCTGGGCGTGGTGGCGGGCGTCTGTATTCCCAGCTACTTGGGAGGCTGAGGCAGGAGTCCCAGCTACCCAGGAGGCCGAACTTGCAATGAGCTGAGACCACTGCACTCCAGCCTGGGCGACAGAGCAACACGCCATCTCAAAAATAAAAAAAAGATCTTAAATCTTTTCAACTTAAGACACTGGAAAACAGTAAACCAAACCCAAAGCAAGCAGAAAGAAGGAAGTAATTAGAACTAGAGCAGAAAATCATGAAATAGAGAATAGAAAAACAGGAGAGGGCCAGGCGTGGTAGCTCACACCTATAATCCCAGCACTTTGGGAGGCCGACGCGGGCAGATCACGAGGTCAGGAGCTGGAGACCAGCCTGGGCAACATGGTGAAACCCCGTCTCTACTAAAAATAGAAAAATTAACTGGTCGTGGTGGTGCACGCCTGTAGTCCCAACTACTCAGGAAGCTGAGGCAGGAGAATTGCTTGAACCCGGGAGGCAGAGGTTGCAGTGAGCCGAGATCGCACCACTGCACTCCATCCTGGCGAGAGAGGGACACTTTGTCTCCAAAAAACAAACAAACAAAACAAAACAGTAGAGAATCAAAGACTGATTCTTTGGAAAGATCAGCAAAGTTGATGAGCCTTTAAAGAGACTGAACATAAAAAGCTACTTGAATTACTAAAATCAGGAATGAAAGGGAGACATTACTACCAACCTTTATAGAATAAAAAGGATTATTATGGAATGCTATGGACAATTGTATGCCCATGAATTAGACAATGTAGATGACATGGATAGATTCCTAGAAAGACACTACCAAAACTGACTCAAGAAGAAATAGAAAATCTGAATAGATGTACAACAATAAAGGGATTGAATTAGTAATGAAAAAAAACTACAAAATGAAAAGCATAGGCCCTGATGGCTTCACTGGTGAATCCTATCAAGTATTTAAGCTGATACCAATTCCTCACAAACTTCAAAAAGTAGAAGAGGGAACACTTTTTAACTCATTCTGTGAGGTCAGTATTACCCTGATATCAAAACCAGACAAAGATATCTCAAAGAAAACTACATACCAATCACTTTTAAATATAGATCCAAAAGTCCTCAAAAACATACTAGCAAAATAGGATTCAGCAATATATAAAAAAGGATTTTGCACCATGACCAAGTGGGATTTATCCAATTAATGTAATGTATTGTATCAGTAGAACAAAGGACAAAAGCGTAGGATCATTTGACAAAACTTACTCTCCAAAAACAAACAAAAACGAGAACAACTTCAATCTGGTAAGAGGCATTTACAAAGAACCTACAGGTAATATGATACGTAATGATGACAGACTAAGGCTTTCCCCCAAGAAAGCATGGAATTCATGTTCTTGGATTGAAGGATAATATTAAGATGGCAATACTCCCTAAATTGATCTACAGATTCAATGCAGTCTCTATCAGAATCCCAGCTGACTTTTTGTTTGTTGCAGAAATTGACAATCTAATATTTAAAGTCATATGGAAATCCAAGGGACCTCCAAAATAGCCAAACAGTCTTGAAGAGGGTCAAAGTTGGAGGACTAAAGCATCCTGATTTTAAAACTAGTTACAAAGCTACAGTAATCAAGACAGTGTGGTTCTAGCATAAGGATAGCACATTGGTCAATAGAATTGAATTTAAAGCCCAAGAAATAAACCCTTACATTTCTGGTCAATTGATTTGTGACAAACATGCCAAGATATCTCAATTGGGGAAAGTGTAGCATCTTCAATGAATAGTGCTGGGACAGCTGAATTCAGGCATATTTTGGAGATATTGTGGGCTTTGTTTCTGGCCACTGCAGTAAGCAAGTCGTTAACTTTTTGGTTTCTCAGTGCATGTAAAAGTTGTTTACATGATAGTATAGTCTATTCATTATGCAATAGCATTATGTCTTAAGGAACATGCCTTAATTTTAAAATACTTTATCGCCTAAAAATCTGAGCCTTCAGTGAGTCATAATCGTTTTACTGGTAGAGGATCTTGTCTCAGTGTTGATGGCTGCTGACTGATCAGGGTGGTGGTTGCAGAAAGTTGGGGTGGCTGTGGCAATTTCTTAAAATAAGACAATAAAGTTTGCAGCATTGACTCTTCCTTTCACAAAAGATTTCTCTGTATGTTGCATGCAATGCTGTTTGATAGAATTTTACCCACTGTAGAACTTCTTTCAAAATTGGAGTTAATCCCCTCAAAACCGGCTGCTGCTTTATCAACT
Organism: Homo sapiens; assembly: GCF_000001405.40. Lineage (NCBI taxonomy): Eukaryota > Metazoa > Chordata > Mammalia > Primates > Hominidae > Homo > Homo sapiens. The sequence continues at coordinate 180,586,677 of NC_000005.10, forward strand.
AAGTTTATGTACTCTTCTAAAACTACATCCTATATGGTCACTTCAGTGAGGTTCACAGCCTCTTCACCAGGAGGAGATTCCATCTCAATAAACCACTTTCTTTGCTCATCCATAAGAAGTAACTCCTCACCTGTTCAAGTTTTATCATGGGGTTGCAGTAATTCAGTCACATCTTCAGTCAGGCTTTGCTTCTAATTCAAGTGGTCTTGTTATTTCTCCCACATCTGCAGTTGCTACCTGAAGCCTTGAACCTCTTGGTTATCCATTAGGCTGGAATCAACTTCTTCCAAACTCCTGTTAATGCTGGGGTGTTTTTTTGCGGGGGGAGGTGGGACAGAGGCTTGCTTTGTCACCCAGAGGAGTCTCACTCTGTCACCCAGGCTAGAGTGCGGTGACGCAATCACAGCTCGCTGCAGCCTCGACTTTCCGGGCTCAAGCGACCCTCTCACCTAAGCCTCCAAAGTAGCTGGGACTACAGACGTGCGCCACCACACCCAGCGAATTTTTAAAATTTTCTGTAAAGACAAAAGACTTACCTTGTTGTCCAGGGTGATCTTGAACTCCTGGACTCAAGGGATCCTCCTGCCTTGACCTCCCAAAGTGCTGGGATTAGCCACTGTGCCAGCCATGAATTAAAAAAAAAAAAAAAAAAAAAAAAAAAAAAAAGCTGGGTGCAGTGGCTCACACCTATAGTAGCAGCTACTTGGGAGGCTGAGGTGGGAGGATCGCCTGAGCCCAGGAGTTCAAGGCCGCAGTGAGCTGTGATCGCATCACTACACTCCAGCCTGGGTGACAGAGTGAGACTCCATGTCTAAAAATATCAGGCATTTACAATTATGCTTCCAAGTGTGATCTTGAGCCTTAAGGTCTTACTCTTACATCATCAGCATCTTCTTTTAACTTGGCCGGAAACCTGACTTCAATGACATTAACCTAATTATACATCTGAGTTATCTATCACAGAAGATGCACAGAACGGCCTCAGTATCGCAATACCACCAGTAAGAGAAGTTTAAAATTATTTTCACAGTTCCTCTTGTCCTTGGGGTGGAGCCACCGCAGGGCGGAGAATTCAATTACTACATTTTTACATTACTTAGAATAGTTCCTTGGTGGTTAGGCCCCCGCTTAGAAACCCAGTTAAGTTTCTTTCTTTTCCTAACTTCAATTTTTAGAGGCTGCTTTAAAGAATTTGTGTTTGGTCTTTTGTGACAATATAAAATATTTTTAAAATAGTAACCATTTTATAACATTTCATCCTTGGGCTGGGCGCCATGGCTCATGCCTGTAGTCCCAGCACTTTGGGCATGGCATTCTTGCCTTTGAGGGGTCGACTTCAGTTGTCTTATACGTCCCTGCTGAAGCATGTGTACCTTTTCCCTGTGATATACAAACCCTGGGTCTGGGAGTTGACGGTGTGGGGATGCACCGCCTCAAGGCCATCCGAGACATAGCTTCTGTTTTCAAGTCCCCATTAAATGTTTCTTTGTGAGATACTGGACTTGTCAGACTCTTTTTGACCCCTTAGCTCCCTTGGTCTTTGGGGGCAGGTCTGCATATACCTGCTCACTGAAGAGCAGTATGTTTGGGACCAGTATCTCCAGGATTATGATGGTCTCTCTTCCAGGAATCTACAGGAGGAAGGAAGCTAGACGTTGCAGCTGGTCTTGGAACTTCAACTGGTGTTCGCAGTTTCCCTTTTTCACTAAGCACTTTGCTTTCCCCCCGTTGTTTTCCTGGAAAGATTCCAGGGGTGGAGGGTAGCAGGGCCATCTCGGGATGGGGTCCTTCATCTAGTACCACATAGTACCACAGCCCACCCACCGTCAGTTCCACCAAGCTCCCGTAGCCTACCATGTTCTCATAATGATTTACCTGGATGTTTTAATCCAGTTAGTTAAGGAATTGTTAGCAGACAACCTGCAGAAAGCCTGGATATGTAATACTGGGGGAGGTGGGCCTGGGGTCGTGCTGAGGTCGGTGTCCCCATGACCTTGTGATTCTCACTCTTGGTTCCTGTTGTCCAGACCAAAGCCTTCCCCACCCCATGAAGATTCACAGCCCTTCATGACCTTGGGGGCAACGTGTTGCTCAGATTTCATGGAATCTGGATCCAGGTGGCTTCTTCCCTGTTGTGGTTTGACTGTGAACTCATCAAAATGGCTAAAATTTTTATTTTATTGTACTATTTATGTATTTTGAGACGGGGTATCTCTCTGCTGACCAGGCTGGAGTGCAGTGGTACAGTCACGGCTCACTGCAGCCTGACCTGTCTGGCTCAAGTGAACCTCAGCCTCCCGAGAAGCTGGGATTACAGGCACACGTCACCATGCCCGGATAACTTCGGTACTTTTTTTTTTTTAGACGGAGTCTCGCTCTGTCACCAGCCTGGAGTGCACTGACACGATCTTGGCTCACTGCAACCTCTGCCTCCCCAGTTCAAGCGATTCTCCTGCCTCTGCCTCCCGACTAGCTGGGACTACAGGCGTGTGCCACCATGCCCAGCTAATTTTTGTATTTTTAGTAGAGACGGGGTTTCACCATGTTGGCCAGGATGGTCTCGATCTCTTGACATCGTGACCCGCCTCAGCCTCCCAAAGTGCTGGGATTACAGGTATGAGCCACCGCGCCGGCCAATTTTTGTATTTTTTGTAGACACGGAGTTTCCTCACGTTGCCCAGGCCAGTTTCAAACTCCTGGACTCAAGTGATCCACCTGCCTTGGCTTCTCAAAGTGCTAGGGTTACAGGTGTGCGCCACCGTGCCCAATCAAAAAATTTTTAAAATCTCGTGTGGATATTCATGATGGGGGGAAGACCTGCTCAAGCCACCTGAGGCAGAGTTATTCATCCCAGCAAGGAAGTCAACTGGGAGGCTTCCCCTGAAAGGGACACCGATGTCTGGGTTCCCTGGGCACCTTCCCACCAACACTAGATCAGTTGACAAAAGGTGGTCTCTCCGCTAGAGTAGAAGGAATCAAAGTCACTAGGTTATTTGGACAAAACCAGCAGAAACTGCAGGGAAAACAAGCCCAACAGCGGATTTCCTGAAGCCCTCATTCCTCCCCCATTCCGAGGAAGAAATCTACAAGTATAGAGGGAAAAAATAAAAACTTTCAAATTTTAGCAACAAATGGCTTTGGTGCGTTTGCATTCTCGCCAGTCTTCAAGGAGTAGATAATTTTTATGCTTCATAAACAGTTACAGAGCACAACAGGAAGAAAGACCTGCCAGTTTTGTTTCCAAATCCGGTTTACCTCTGATACTGGCCCCATCTCTGTCACCTTGCACTGCTGGCTCTATGCCACCTGCAGACTCTCGCGGCCTCTCTCTCCCTCTCTCACGCAGCACCCCTCACAAAATCTGGGACTTGGCACTCTCGGTCCCCCACAGGGATCAGCATTTGGATGAGAAAATACCAGGCTCGAGCTGCTCTTAACCACGTTTATTGAGAGGGGCCGGGGGAAGGGGATGGACGGTCCTCCCCGCGGCGGGGTTTTCAGCCCTCGCGGGTGGGCAGCGTCTTGTCCTCAGGTGTAGATGCTCCAGTCTCGGCTCAGCCAAACACTGTCAGGGCCCCCTGGAAAGCAGAAGCCGAGCTTGAGTGCCCCCAGCCCTGCCACCAAGAACTCAGGCGGGGGCGCGGCAGCGGCCGGCTCTGTGGGGAGCGGGAGCGGGGCGGTTCCGCTGGCGTCTCCGGGGGACGCGCACCCGCGCGGGGCCATCTCCGCCTTCCCCGCCCCTGCAGCTCGGATGCGCCCCACCCAGTTCCCACCCGGAGACCCGGGCTTCTCCCAGGGACAGGGCTTGGAGGGGCAGGACGGGAAACAGCCCTGACGTAGGGCCGGGACACCTCTGGTGCAGTTTTGAGGCTGGCCGGGAAGGGATGCCCGCGCAGGAAGGGCACCCGGGGTGCCCACTTTACCAGCAGGGCCTTCAGGGCCTTCACGGCCCCCACGGCCTGGGGACCCAGCTCAGCCACACACTTCTGGGAGCCCTCTATGAGGTGGTTCACGGGGATGCCCAGGCTGCTCAGCAGGAGCTTCAGCGGGTTGAGGGTGCCGAGGGGGTTGGCCAGGGTCCCGGCCCCGGCCTCCGCCGCCGACTCCAGCGCAGCGACAGGCTGGGCCACAGGCTTGGCCGAGCCCACTAAGAAAGCAGCAGCTGCAAGCGAACAGGGAGGGGTCACCGCCTGCGCGCCGGGGTCCCCAGAAGGCAGGTCCAGGACGCGCCCCCGCGGGAGGCGCCCAGGAACCGTCGCGCCCTGCCCGGCTCCCCGACCGCCCCTCCCTCCTGCGCCGAGGCCTGCCAGGTGCGAGCCCCCGGGACACAGGCGGGTCTGGGGAGGCGGCCCCGCCAGGAGACGCTGCAGGGTCACCGGAGTGGCCTGAGGGTGGCGGAAGGACCGGTGAACTCTGTGCAGGGTCCGGGACAGGCCCCCAAGGGAGGGGACACTCGCGCTGCGCCTTGCAGGATGAGGAGCCGGTCTCCAGACGGGGGGCAGACGGGTGTCCCCAGGCCAGGGGCGGCCTCCATCCCGGCACGAGGCTGGAGACAGCCCTGAGAGGGGGAGGCCGCGGGCTGCAGGCGCGGGGCCCCGGGGTGGCGGAGCCCTCTGGGCGCCGGGCGAGGCTGGAAGGACCTGGGATCCACGATCGGCGCAGGCAGCGGCGGGGGCGCAGCGGGCGCCGAGGCCTCAGGCCCCACCGTGCGCGCCAGGAGCCCGGGGCGCTCACCGGAGCTGCAGGACAGGGCCACGCAGAGCCCCAGGAGGGCGGCGAGCTTCATGGCGCGGGGGCTCGGGGCGCGCGGGGAACCTGCGGCTGCCCGGGCAAGGCCACGAGGCTTCTTATACCCGGTCCTCGCCCCTCCAGCGCCGGCCTCGCCCGCGCTCCTGAGAAAGCCCTGCCCGCTCCGCTCACGGCCGTGCCCTGGCCAACTTCCTGCTGCGGCCGGCGGGCCCTGGGAAGCCCGTGCCCCCTTCCCTGCCCGGGCCTCGAGGACTTCCTCTTGGCAGGCGCTGGGGCCCTCTGAGAGCAGGCAGGCCCGGCCTTTGTCTCCGCGAGGCCCACCCCGGCCCGCACCTTCGCTTTGCGGTCTGACCCCACGCGCCCCCCTGCAGGGCTGGGCCCGGGTGAGGGGAGCTTCCCTCGCGCCAGGGCAGGGGCGGGGGCGGCGCAGTTCCTGGCTCCCTGGTCCCTGCCTCTGATCCCAGACCGTGGCAACGTCGGGCACTGGGGGTCCTCGTGGGCGCCTTCTGCGCCTGGGGAGGTGGAGGCGCCAGGGACGATCAGGCCTCACTCCCGGCCGCCTCCCCGGCCGGGCCACAGGCAGCCACAGTGCAAACAGAAGTGGGGCGTTTTTCTGTCTTCGAAACTAGCCTCGACGCCAGTGGATGGGCCTGGTTTGTTCCTGAGTTTCTCTAAATGTCCTCACTCGTCTGTCACCTGCAGAAGTATGACAGATGGAGAGCAAAGCACATTTTGAAAACTTTTGCAAATGATACATAAACTAATTTGCTTTTAGTCCTTCTTCTTTCCTCTATTTTTTGACCCCAGGCATTGAGCACTGAGTGACTCACGTTTTGCTGCGTGGCTGCTCTCAGCTAGGTTGGTGCAAAGTCTCTCTTTTCTTTTGTAAAGTGTAGCTGGCACGCGTGGGAAACAGGCTCCCGGGTGGGAGGACCTGACTCTTCAGGCAGTGTCCTGGAATTCCTTCCCTATGGCTGACAGCACGTCTTAGCCCTCAGCCACCCCGAGCTACTGCGGCCTCCTCCGCACCTGCAGACACTTGTGCCTTTGCCAACTGTTGTGGCCAGGCACACGCATTCACACTGTTTCTGTTCACTTACACTTTTCCTTGACTATTTTGTTTGGGGGATTTTTGCATTATAAATCTGGAGTTTGGTTGTGTTTTGTTGGTCATCATGGAAGTAATTTTAATGGGAAATACGTTTTCTTTTTTAAAAACAGTTTGAAGTTAATTACTTTTTTGGTGGTGGTAAAGACACTGTCTTGCCGTGTTGCCCAGGCTGGTCTCGAACTCCTGAGCTCAAGCAATCCTCCCACCTCAGACTCCCAAGTAGCTGGGACTAGAGGTGTGAGCCACCACACTCAGCGGATTTTGATTTTGTTTTTTGTTTGTTTGTTTTTTGAGACAGTCTCACTCTGTCGCCCAGGCTGGAGTGTAGTGAGGTGATCTTGGTTCACTGCAGCCTCCACCTCCCAGGCTCAAGCAATTCTCCCACCTCAGCCTCCCAAGCAGGTGGGGCTATAGGTGTGCACCACTATGTCCAGCTAATTTTGTTTATTTTTTGTAGAGACAAAGTCTCACTGTGTTGCCCAGACTGGTCTTGAACTCTTAGCCTCAAGTGATACTCTTGCCTCAGCCTCCCAAAGTGCTGGGATTACAGGTGTGAGCCACCACGCCTGGCTTGATTTATTTTTATTTTTTCTAGAGATGGGGTCTCGCTACATTGACCAAGCTGGTCTCAAAATCCTGGCCTGAAGCAATCCTCCCGCCTCAGACTCCCAAGGTGCTGTGATGACACGTGTGAGCCACCCCGCACAGCCCAGCTTCACCATCTTAAGGGCACACTCCATTAGCATTAAGTATATTCTAATGTTGTGCAAACATCACCACAATCCATTTCCAGAACTCTTTTCCTCTTATAAAACTGAAACTCTGAGCCTATTAAACAACTCCCCACTCCCCTCCCCAAGCCCTTGGCACCACCATTCCACTTTCTGTCTCTGAATCTGGCCACTCCCGGCACCTCATATGAGTGGAATCGGGCAGTGTTTGTCTTTTGTGTCTGGCGTATTTCACTTAGCATGATATCCTCCAGGTTCATTCATGACCTTCAGAGTTTCCTTCCTTCTTAGGGTAGGATACTGCTCCATTGCATGGCTGTGCCACGTTTTCTTCACCCATTCACTTCACCCGTGGGTGGACATGTGGGCGCTTGCATGTTTTCACTGCTGTGAGTAATGCGGCCGTGAACACGGCTGTGCAAATGCCTCTTTGGGACCCTGCTGTTGGCTGTTTTGGGTGGCTGCTCAGAGGTAGAATGGCTGGAGCCTGTGGAACTTGCCTGTGTCATTTGTGAGGATCTGCCATCTCTCCCATAGCAGCGGCACCACGCTGCCTTCCCAGCAACAATGCACAAGGATCCCAGTGTGTCCACAACCTCATGATGCTTGTTCTTCTCCTGAGCAGGATCTGGCAGCCTTGGCCCAAGCAATCCCAGTGGGCGCATCTTGGGAGCTGACTTTGGGGCCACCTTTCCCCATGCTGCCTGGGGACCAGAGAACACTGACCGCGGGAAAGACCGATGCTGCCGAGGCCAGGAGGAGGGGGAGGCCGTCATCTGTGGGTCCCCAGCAGCGCTTGGGGTCCTGGCCACTCCAGCGGCCCCTTGCACCTGCCTCCAGGGATCCTTTGTCTTCAAAATAACCTCCCTCCACCTTCCGGCTCATAGTGCCTTGGGTGGATCTGTTCCCATTTCCCACAAGCCTGCAGGGTGGTGACAGGCCCTCATTCCCATGTGCCCCAAGATTTCGGATTCCAAAAATACATCCCCTGGCTCCCCGGAGAAGTGTGTCACGGTGTCTCCGTTTCACCACTGACAGGGCCAAAGGATGTGCTCTCCTCTCCCGAGCTGCCATGGTCAAGGCAAGCCAGGACTCACCTCAGGCTGGCCCAGCCCCTCACCCCACACTGGCTCTGGGGGCCACGGCTGGCGAAGCCTCTGCGGTAGTTGGGGATCAGGCAGGCCGAGGGTCTGGCCTGTGCCGAGACCTGCACAGCTGGGTCAGCGGCTGCCTCTGTATTCATTTCCTGAGGCTGCTGTGACAAGTCACCACATACCTGGTGGCTGAAAACAACACATTTACTCCGCTCGCAGTTCTGGAGCCCAGAAGTGCAGTGTCACGGGGGTGAAGGCGAGGCGTCGGGGGCCGCTCCTCCTCCAGAGGCTGGGCCTTCCCAGGAGCTTATCCACTCCTGGCCTCTCCCTGCTTATGGGGGCTGCCAGGGCCCCTTGGCTGGTGACTGCATCACTCCAGTCTCTGCCTCCTGGTCACATGGCCTCCTCCTCTTCTGTGTGTGTGGGTGTGTGTGTGAGGGTGCGTGGGGTGTGTGTGTGAGGGTTTGTCGGTGTGTGGGTGTGTGTGGGTGTGTGGGTGTGTGTGGGGGTGTGTGTGGGTGTGTGAGGGTTCGTGTGTGGGTGTGTGGGAGTGAGAGGGTATGGGTGTGTGTGAGGGTGTGTGAGGGTATGTGTGGGTGTGTGAGTGTGTGTGGGGTGTGTGTGAGGGTGTGTATGTGTGGGTGTGTATGTGGGTGTGTGTGAGGGTTCATGTGTGGGTGTGTGTGGGTGTGGGGATGTGTGGGGGTGTGTGTGTGGAGGGGTGAGAGTGAATATGCATGCAAGTGTGTAAGATGGACAGTGAATGAGAATGTGCATGTGAAGGAGAGTGAGTGGGTGTGAGCTTGTGGGTGTGTTTGAGTGTGAATGTGTGTACAAGTGTGTGTGTGGATAAGCGTGAGTCAGTCTGTGTGGGAGGGAGAGTGTGGGAGGGAGTGTGTGGGAGGGAGTGTGTGGATATGCATGTGTTTGAATTGTGTGCAAGTGTGTGTGAATGTGTGTGTGAGTGTGGGTGTGTGTGAGTGTGAAAATTCTGCCGCCATCTTATGAGTGTGTGTGTTGTTGCATTTAGGGCTCACCTAGATAACCCAGGACAGTCCCCTCATCTCACAATGACGCCCCCAGTCGGGCTGCCGAGACCGTGCCTGCTGAGCCTAACATTCCAAGGTTCCAGGAGCTGGGGTGTGGACGGACCTGGGGCCTGCCATGCCCTCCAAGTGCTGCCCTGCCCCTTGAAGGCCAGGCCAGGTGAGGCTTCCAGGGTGGGTGTCAGAGTCCGCCCGGCATGGGACAGGGGCGGGTGGGCAGCGCCCTCTCGTCAGCCTGGGCCTTCCCTGCCACTCCTGCTTGCGGCCCTTGCTGGCTCAGGTCTGCCGAGACACTGAGAAAGTGCTTGGCGCTGTCTGCAGACGACACGGTCAGCTTGTTCTGGGCAGTGTTTGCAGGGCATCTTTTGGGCCAAAATAAACACGCACACCTTGCCCACTCCCACGGAATGCAGGAAGAGCTGGAAGGTAAACAAGCACTTTGCGGCTCTGGGGAAGGGGCCAGATATTGAATTTGGGGCCTATTGAAAGACCTCAGGGCCTCGGAGCAGGGTACTCAGCCCCTGGGTGCTCCTGCTGGGGAGCCTAGAGGCTCACGGTGCCTCCGCCCGGCCCACGCTTTGGCGGTGCTTCCGCAGACACCTGTGGAGGGCTGTTCAGGTGGCAGATGCCCACTCTGATGCCCCCACCATGTCCCCATTCTCTCTCTGATGTCCTCTCTCTCTGAGGCCCCTGCTCTCTGTGATGCCCCCTCTCTTTGATATCCCTCTTTCTCTGGTGCCCTCTCTTCCTAATGCCTTGAGTACATAAATTATTAAGCAAACTGGGTTGAACTCCGGATACCCATGCCTCTCTGATGTGGTCACCTGGGCAGGTGAGTGCAGCTCCCCGCCAGAGCAGGCATCTTGGTGACTGTTCATTGCCGGAGTTTTCTGGGGCCCCTCTCTGCCCACCTCTGCTCTCCTGGGATAGCAGCTGGCTGTCAGGTGGTGTCCTGGTGGCTGGGCCCTGGTTAGGTTAGCCCTCCATGCTAGAATGATCTGGGGCTTTGGGAGGGGTCTGTGGTGCTGTTCCAATAGAAGCTGCTCTTCTTTTTATGTCTAGAGCCAAAGGCCGCAGGCGCTGGACCCCGGCCCCGAGGCCCCCTTCCTCACTCCTTCTGAGCAAACTTTCCTACTCGAAGGTGGGGACCGGTGGGCAGCCCTGGTGGTGTCAGCCGGCACCCTGAGTTTCCCGATGGTCCTGGGACCCTTTTTCAAGGGACTTGTGGGGGCTCCTGGCCAGGGCCACCACAGCGGCCAGCAGCAGCGACCCTCCACACCGCCCTGAGTGGGCCCCACAAGGACAGGCACCTCGGCCAGTCCCAGCAGGCACTCTGGGCTTTCTCCTGCGCCAGTAGGAAGTGGTTTGGCTCGGCCCCGTGGGCCCTGGGGCGCTCAGCACCCCCTCCTCAGCCCCCGTCCTCCCTCCTCATGGCTCGGCCCCGTGGGCCCTGGGGCGCTCAGCACCCCCTCCTCAGCCCGCGTCCTCTTTCCTCATAGCTCAGCCCCGTGGGCCCTCGGGCACTGGGCAGTGTCGTGAGCATATCCGAGCGCCCTCTGTGGCACCGTCCCTGGGTCAATATTGATCTGGCTCTCAGCCACTTCCTTTTGCCCCTTCCCTGTCGGCACTCCCACCCACAGGGCCCTGCTGTGCGGAGGGGAGCAGGTGCTGTCGATGTGGTTCCTGCCTTGTGGGTTCAGGGCATTGGTGAAAGTGACAGAAAAGCTGACCCACGTGGCTTTAAGCAAAGACTGAAATTCCAGGAGTGGCTCCGCCTTCAGGGAAAGGTTGATCCAGGCTCAAAGGATGTCACCAGGACCTCATACCTCATTCTTCCCTGCCATCTCTCAGCTCCTTTTTTTTTTTTTGAGATGGAGTCTTGCTCTGTTGCCCAAGGTGGAGTGCAGTGGTGCAATCTCGGCTCACTGCAACCTCTGACCCCAAGTTCAAGCGATTCTCCTGCCTCAGCCTTCTGAGTAGCTGGGATTACAGGCGCCCGACACCATGCCCGCCTAATTTTTGTATTTTCAGTACAGCCAGGGTTTCATCGTGTTAGCCAGGATGGTCTCGATCTCCTGACCTCGTGATCTGCCTGCCTCGGCCTCCCAAAGTGCTGGGATTACAGGCGTGAGCCACCGCGCCCGGCCTCTCAGCTCCCATTTTTTAGAGTTGTCCTCCTTGGAGTGACAGGCTGGCAGCCAGCAGTGCCAAACCTCCGATACCAATTTGGGCCCAGGCACACAAGCGCTGGTGCTATCCCCAGGGCCCTCCCGTGAGGCTTCACCCCACTGCTCCAAGGACCGTGCTGGCCACAGCAGCAGCAGCAGAGGAAACATCGTGTCTCATTAGGTCCCACTTCCCTGCTTCAGTCTGTTCAGTGAGGAAGGAGGCTGAGGAAGGGGTGCTGGCAGGGATTCAGGAGGTGACCCTGGGCAGGGCTCCACACCTCTGTGTGCCCAGCAGCACTCCCTGTCCTCCCCACCCCAATACCATTCCATTGAGGAAAGCACTTCAGTCCCCAGAGCCCCACCGTGTCCAGGGACTGAAGTGGTTTCCTGCGTGGAATGGCACTGGGGTGAGACGGGCATTATCACCCTCACGATTTAGAAGAAACACAGCTCAGAGAACGTCAGTGACCGGCCTGCAGTCCCCTGGCAGTCTGAGATGGGTCTGCACGGTGCCCAGGCCATGCTCTTCACACGCCCATTGACCCGGAAGGCACAGCGTCCTGTGCTGCCTCCACGTGCCAGGGCTGGGAGCAGCCAGGCAGGGGTGAGAGTTGGGGGGTCAGACCCAGGGGAGGCCCCAGCCCAGACTCCAGGCCAAGATCCCACCATGGCAGAGATGCACTTGCTGCCGTCCCAAAGCAAGGCCCCTTCCGAGCGTTCCCTTCCGTTACTGCTGCCTCTCCGTGGAGACTGGCTGATGACTTCCAGGTACCCGGCTGTCCCTAGGGGAGGCCATGTCCTTCTCAGGGGAGCTGCCTCCTTCCAGGGCCGGGCAGTCCTGTGTGGCCCTGCTGCCCACAAGCCAGCTGTGATGGAGCTCCTGGCAGTGCCTCAGAGCAGCCAGGGATGGGCGGGACCCTGGGAGCTGCCCGGCTGACTCCACCCCTGTGTGCCACAGAGGGGCAGCCCAGGCTGCCAAGGATGCTGCCCCCAGGCGTGTTCCAAATCCCTTAATCCTCTCTCTCTGTGGCCGCTCTGGGCTCCCCATCAAGCCCTAGTTCAGCCCCCACATCCTCTAGCCTCCCGGCCCACCATCAGCTTTATGGCACCCTTGGCCACTCGTGGCTCGGGTGGAAAGTTTAGGAGTTTCTGCTTCCCTCTTTGGATGCGCCCCTGAGGGGAAGGTGGTGTCCCCCACTGGGCCCAGGAAGGGGAAACGGTCCCCTCTCCTCGCGGTGGTGGCTGCAGCCAGTTACTCCTCCAGAGCAGAACAAGGGTGGGGGGAGTGTGGGGGCGCTTGCTGACCTCAGACACCGCCCAGTTTGCCCTCAGGAGGGATGCATTTCCCCTGTGCACAGCGCTTTGAGGCTGGGCTCACATTTCTTTCTTACAGTCCTGGAAGCTGGGAAGGCCAAGATCAAGGCGCAGGCAGATCGGGGGTCTGGTGAGGGGCTTCCTGGTTTCCTGACAGCTGACTTCTCACACGGTGGAAAGAGGGCTACGGAGCTCTCTGGCCTCCTCTTGTAAGGACACTAATCCCATTCCCAGGGGCTCCACCCTCATGACCTGCTCACCTCCCAAGGGCCCCACCTCCTAACGCCATCACACTGGGAGTAGGGTTTCAACATGTACATTTCAGGAGGACACAAACCTTCAGTCCATCGGGCATATGGGGGACGGGTGGGAGCACGTGTTAGCTGGTGCATGGGTGGGTGGGTGAGTCAAGGGGGGCTCATAGGCCCCTGTTCACACCACTTGGTCGGAAGGGGGCTTTTACCTGGGTGTGGTCACCCCCAGCACCACTGGGGCCTTATGACTTTTATCACCAAAGCTCTACAAGGTGGCAGTCATGAATGAGAAACTGAGGCTCCGAGGGGAGGTGCTGGGCTCAGGCTCACCAGCTGCAGGGTGCCACATCTCATACCCCATCCTCCGCTCCCAGCCCTGAGGAGCCCTCAGAGCCCAGCCTGTCCCAGGCTCTCTGCCCAGTGGCAGAGGAGACCCAGGCCTCATTTGGTGGTTGCCAAAGGCACAAAGGCAGTCCCCGCTCAGTGATGCTATGGTCCCCTCCCTGAATCCACATGCAGAGATCAGGGCTGGAGATGGCCCCAGTGACCTGGGGACTGGCCAGCACCTTGGACACTGTGGCTGATTATCTGGGCTAAGCACACAGCTTCAAGAGTCTACCTGGAAGCTAGGCACAGTGAGCCCCGTAGTCCCAGCTACTCAGGAGGCCGAGGCGAGAGGATCATGTGAGCACGGGAGGTTGAGGCTGCAGTGAGCTATGATTGCACCACTGCACTCCAGCCTGGGTGACAGAGTGAAACTTCGTCTCAAAAAAAAAAAAAAGTTGATTTGGGCCCACTGGGGTGGAGTGGCCTGGGAGTGGTAATGGGGTGAGGATGGGGTCAGGGGAAATGAGAGGGAGGGAGCCGGTGTTGGTGCTGGAAGCTGCTTTTTGGGTTCCCTCCTCCCAAGCATAATGAGCATCTAGGGCGGGAGCTGTGTAGGGCCCTCCCGGGGGTCCCTCTGATCTCCTAGCCTGCCAGCACCCCTGCAGACCCCGCCAAGCTCCTTCAAGATCCCTCCTTCTCGGTGAAAGACGTCAGCCCTTCTCAGAATGCCCGTCTAGCCTTAAAATAAGAAACAGGCCCAACTCTGGACTCCCAGGCCCTAGGTCCCCTGTGGCCTCCTGTCCCACATCCCACTTCCCTCCCTCGCCTGTCCTTCTGGTCTTCCTCTTTGCTCTTCTTCACTCCTCACAGCAGGGGCTGCGGTTTGTGAGTTCCAACTCCAGGGCCTAGGACCACGTGTGGCTTTGAGCAGCCACCCGGGAGCTCTGCCTGCTGGATGCAAACGCCAGGGCCTGAGCACACCGAGAGGCACTGGGGACGTCAGCATAGAATCAACAGCATCAAAGGACATTCGGGCATGTCCTGGGCCCCAAACCTCCCCCAAGCAGGTGACGAAGGGCTCTTGGCAGAAATGAATAGAGTGAAGGGCTGGGGTGGAGGTGGGGAGGCATAGGCGGGCGGTGGCACCCAGAGAAGGGCTGGAGCCTGAGAGGAGAAGGTGAGAAGGTTCTTGGGAGGCAGAAGGGACCAAGGGGCCCTCGCAGTGCGAGCACGCTGTAGCCTGGTGTGACTCCTCCCTCCCCGCTCGCTGGCTGTCTCCATCCACACAGCCACTCCTGGAGTGAGTGGTGCTCTGGGGTGTGAAAGGGTGGCTGGGACCTGCAGGGACACTTGAGCCCAGCCCTTAAGGTCCAACCCAGGAAGTTCCAGAGGAGCCCGGAAGTGTGAGCGCAGCCCTGCTGGGAAATGGTACGGGATGGGAGCACAGAGGTGTTTCAGTTCCCAACACACAGGGGCATACTTTGGGCTTGGAGAGCCGCTCAGCCCTGGGCACGGGGGGACACCCTGTTGGTGGACACCTGGGTTGGCACATATGTCAAGGTCAGTGACTAAATTCAGTCAATTATAATGGAAAGCTAAAATATCCAAACCCAGCCTGGGCAATACAGTGAGACCTCATTTCTACAAACCAACCAACCAACCAAAACAAAAAAAAAGCGGCCGGGCGCGGTGGCTCACACCTGTAATTCCAGCACTTTTGGGAGGCTGAGGCCGGGAGTTCGAGCCCAGCCTGGCCAACATGGTGAAACCCCGTCTCTACTAAAAATACAAAAATTAGCTGGGCGTGGTGGCAGGTGCCTGTAATCCCAGCTACTCAGGAGGCTGAGGCAGAAGAATTGCTTGAAGACGGAGGTTCCAGTGAGCCGAGATCGCGCCACTGAACTCCAGCCTGGGGGAAAGAGCAAAACTGTCTCAAAAAAAAAAAAAAAAAAAAAAAAAAGCCCAATGTGGGGGCTGTTCTGTATTCCCATTTAGATTTATTACGGAAGCAAAAACAATAAAAGCAACACTCCCGTCCGCAACACACACAAAGACCGGCATCAGATTTATTATTATCTCTTGTTAAATATTTTCGATCTTTTCTCAGAACATGGTCTAGAAGGGCATAGTAGTTTTTTTCCCGGTACATGCGTGGGTGGGTAGTGAGGAGAAGGGAGCAGAGGTGCGCGCCAGGAGCCAGGCTGGTTCTCTGCAGAGAACAACCTCCAGATCCTCCCAGGGAAGCCTGACACGCCAGTCCCACGTTGGACGACGTGCAGAGGAAGGGGGAGGTCCACGGGGACGACGAAGATGACCTTATACGTGCACTCGGCATATCCTGGAGTAACGCGCAGTGGGGGAGGTGGGGAGGGGAGGGTCGGCCGGGCAAGCCCCTGCCCGCTGCGCGGCGCCTGTCCTGCAAGCGTCTGGTGCGTGGGTTTGGGGGGTCAGGGTGGTGGTCAGTCTCCGTGGTCCTAACGTGGGGATGTGGCTCTTTCTCCTGGTGAGATGGTTGGGCACTGTGAGCTGGGATAGGGGTCCTGAGCAGAATGCCTCCAGCCTTCAGGGGATCTCTCGGCTGCTCCTCTGGGAGGGCGGCATTCTGACCAGCCAGGGTGCTGATGTCAGGCACAGGGCAGGAAAAGGCTGAAGGCAGGTCCCCAGAATGTCCACTGAGTGCTGGGTGGCACAGGGCAATGCTGGGTGGTCCTTTGTGCCAGCCCCGAGCCTTCCTGAGTGGATCCCACAGTGTTCATCTCTCATGAGCTGGTTCACGGCTTGGGAGGGGCCGCAGGTGGCAGATCCGGGCTCTAAAGGGAAGAACCAGACCGGCAGCTCCAGACCCAGGCTCCTCGGAGTCTGGGCCAGGTGGGAGAGCAAGGGCCTTCTCCAGAGGCACTGACTGCTCTGCTGGCCTTGACCTGGGGCGGGGGTCAGAGTCATCTAGACTCAGTACAGCTGTCCCTGGGCGCCTTCCAGGCTGAATTCGGAAAGCAAATTCTTCTCAGCAGCTCTAACAGTCTGTGAAGTTCTGTTGAAAAAGACTTGCAGGATGGCTCTCAACACCCAGGCGCAGGTGTGCGGGCTGCCTCTGTGTTGCCAGCGTATAATACTGTCATACTGGTGGCCACCCCAGGGGCTAGTTGGCTGTTTGGTCAGGCCCAGAAGAGGACCCTGCAAATGCCTTCTTTGAGATGGAAACACAGCCCCTCCCTTCAACTGTGCAGGGGTGGGTGAGGCCAGCCAGCCCTCGTGGGGAGAGTAGCTGTGTGCCTGAGGAGGAAAGGGCGTTTGGGAGACCTCTGCTCTCGTATGCCTTAACCTCCAACACTGTGTGACTCCCAGACCCACAGATTCCTCGTGGGAAAACAGGGACCAGGCCACCACCCAGTGTGATGAAAGGAGGTCGCCAAAGAGACATTCCCATGGAAGTGCTGGCCCCGGGACCAGCACCTGCGGATGCTGAACTAAATGACATCTGAATCTCAGGGGGAGGGGCCGGGGCAGCTGGAGCGTGGCCCTGGCCAGTCGTGGTGACGGAATTCCGGGAGCCTTGGGCCTGGAGTCCTGCTCTTCCTAGCTGGGAAGTCTGCAGAGAGGGAAGAGGACACTCCTGTGCCACCAGAGTTCAACCAGATGAGTTCCCAGCCTGGGCCTCCAGCCCTCTGCCCGCCCTGCCGGGCCTGAACCCCCAAGTGCTGGGGGTCTTGTCCGATGCTGCTTAGTAGCTGTTGTCTGTGAAGAAAGTCACGCGGGCAGACGGGGAGCAGTGGTCCTCCTCGCTTGGCTCCGACAGCTCCCCATACTCGCTGTTGTAAAACACCTGGCCTCCTCGGGCCCCCCGCTCAGGCCGCCGCCGCCTCCCTTGGGAGTCAGGGTGTGCCCTGGTCACAGCCACATTCTGGCCAGGTCCTTTACAGCTGCCAAGACAGGGAAGGTGGTGTTAGTAAGAGAAGAAGGCTGGGTGGCGGGTGGTGCATACTGGTAATCCCAGTACTTGGGAGGCCTAGGCAGGCGGATGGCTTCAGGCCAGGAGTTAGAGTCCAGCCCAGGCAACATGGGGAAACCCCGTCTCTACAAAAAATACAAAAATTAGCCAGGCATGGTGGTGCACGCCTGCGGTCCCAGCTAAGTGAAACAATTGCTTGAGGCCGGGTGCGGTGGCTCATGCCTGTAATCCCAGCACTTTGCTGGGAGACCGAGGCGGGCGGATCACGAGGTCAGGAGATCGAGACCATCCTGGCTAACACGGTGAAACCCCGTCTCTACTAAAAATACAAAACATTAGCCGGGCGTGGTGGCGGGCGCCTGTAGTCCCAGCTACTCGGGAGGCTGAGGCAGGAGAATGGCGTGAACCCGGGAGGCGGAGCTTGCAGTGAGCTGAGATCGCACCACTGCACTCCAGCCTGGGCGACAGAGTGAGACTCCATCTTAAAAAAAAAAAAAATTGCTTGAGCCCAGGAGGTGGAGGTTTCAGTGAGCCAAGATCGTGCCGCTGCACTCCAGCCTGGGTGACAAAGTGAGACCCTGTCTCAAAAACAAACTAACAAAAAACAAGGAGGGACTGGAGCCCTGTCAGGGTCTGATGGGAACCACCAAGGACACAGTGGAGCATGGCATGCGTTCAGACTTCAGAAAACACACACAGACTCGACTCAAACAGCAAAGCGGATCGATCTGATCCAGCACTCACTGGAGCTCTGTCCCTACCTAGCCTGGACCCGAGACTGTGAAGAATGTCCAACTTCATCCCCCAACCCAGTTCTCACTCTGTCTTGCCCATCTCAGTGAACGGCACCACCGTCCCCTCAGCCGCTCAAGCCAAGCACCCTGGGGTTCTCCTTGCTTCCTCCTTCCCCTCACTCTTCAAAGCCAATCCATCCAGAAGTCCTGTCCATTCTAACTCCAGGACACATCCGTGCATCTCCATTCCTGGCCCTCCTGCGGAGCCAGCTGTGTCCTTGCCGGCTCTGTGACATCCTCCCGCGGACTGCTGTGTGCTTCCACCCTGGCCTCCTGGTGGTCCACCCTTCAGAGAGGTCCTTCAAGTTACACTATGTCATTCTCCTCCTGACACGCCCTCCAACGGCTTCCCGTCACTCCACGAAGCAAATCCAGGCCTCTCGCCTTGACCTAGGGGGTGGTTTCTGCCCCTGCCCTCCTCTCTGCCTGCCCTATCATGCACCATCCTCAAGCGCTCACTTTCTTTGCATTTTTTGAAGATGTTGACTTCTTGTTTGGTGCTTTGCATGGTGCTACTGAAAACTCTTGACTGTAAGTTTAAAATATTAGTTCTTTTACTGTTTGCATTTTCTTCCTCTGGGACTCCCAATTTTATATATATTGTCTCTTTTCTATTCCTGTCACTTTCTGATCCTTTTGCCTCTTTTCAGTTTTGTTTTCCTCTTTTCACGTCCATCCTCTGTGTCTGGCACTATCAGTCTGCTCATACATATTGTCCCTGTGGTGCCCTGGTTTTAGAAAAGATTTATCGGGTTTTTTTCCCCCAAAATGGGGGCTTGCTGTGTTGCCCAGCCTGGAGTGCAGTGGCACGATCATGGCTCACTGCATCCTCGACCTTCTGGGCTCAAGCAACTCTCCCACCTCAGCCTGCTGAGCGGCTGCTACCACAGGCATGGGCCACCACACCCAGCTAATTTTTAAAATTACTATTTGTAGAGACAGCGTCTCATTCTGTTGCCCAGGTTGGTCTTGAACTCCGGGCCTCAAGTGATCCTCCTGCCTCAGCCTCCCAGTGTGCTGTGATTACAGGTGAGAGCTACTGCCTGGCCGAATCTATCTTTTATTTCGATTTCTTTCCTGAATTTAGTCTGCTGTCAGTTGTATCATCACATTGTCCGTCCATTTCTATCCTGAAATTTTGAATTTCAGATTCAACAAAACAAGCCACTGCTTGTTTCCTTATATGTTTAATTCATGTTGGAGCATTTTGCTCGTTTTCCTGTTTCTTTTGAACAATTGTCTACCGGGAAGTTTTAACTCTAATACTGTCTTATTCCTATAACTTTGTATGGAGGGTGCTTTTTTGGGGGTTCAGGATTATTCATGTTAGGATTTCCTACACCAGAAATAGCCACTTCTCCTGTGGATGGGACTAGGGATTTTGGTGGCATCCTACATTTCTTCACTTAAAAGTGCCACCTCAAACCCATATCTTTGGCATCTCAAGTTCCTTTGAGCACATTCTTCCTTCTGAAGGCTCATACACGTCCCGTATCATCCTGCCACCAGGGGCCAGCTAGTCTCTTACCCAGAAGAGCTAGGCCCTCCACTGGCTGCACGCAGCCATGCTGAGTGACCACAAGCCCAGTTTCCTGATCTCCTTCCACCCACAGATGCAGGTGAAAAGCCACATCTATAGGTACGGGCTCTGGCATCCTAAGTGGGTACTGAAGGGGCTGGATGATGTAACCCAGGAGTGAGGAGGTGAACCCCCATGGGGCGAGTGCCGACCAGTGGTTAACAGGAGACAGCGAAGGACTAGGCAGATAGATTCCTCCTTCTTCTCCCCACACCCCACCAAGGCACATTCTCTCCTTGCACCTGTTTGCACAGCATTCTGTATGCCAAGCGGATGCACCCGCCAGAGACCTGTGGCACCTTTTCTTGGCTCATTGTCGACAGAGGACAAAGAACAGTGCCCTCTGCTGCCGATACAGGGTGGTGCAGTTTCTCAAATGAACAAATCCATCATGTGTCTTCTTCTGACTTCTGGATACTATCTTGCTTCCTTAGGACCCATGTCTTCTGGAACTTTCTTCTTCCTCTACCACCAAGCATCCAAGGGGCTGCACTCCCTTCTGGCTCGCCGCCCTTTCAGAAGCAAGATGGCTGCCCAGTGCCTCGGGCTTGGCAAGGGAGCTCTCCTCGCAGCCCCATCTCCTCCGTCACCCCTGGGTCTGTGTTGCCACATCCCCAAGGACCTCGTCACACTCTCCTCTCACGGGACGGCCCTATCTGACTCTCCCACCATGGTGCAGGCTCAGCCGTGCGGGTCCTGGCGTTGAGTCCCCAACTCACGTTTCCACGGAGTCTGTCTCCTAGCTGAGCCACAGGCCTGGGCTGAGCGGCCTTCTTTGATCTCAAGGAGCTGTGCTGTTTCTCGAAGGTGTGTAGAGGTTTGAATTTACGTGGCGATCATTCTCTGTGACACCTTTTACTTAATTACCTTGTTTTTTGAATGTCGAAATGCTGTTTGGTGACGAAAAATTAGCCCAAAGCTATTTCCGTAAATGTGACCACCATTGATTTTCCAAAACCAGGTACTAACAGGAGTCACCTGATGAGCTGGGCGTGGTGGCTCATACCTGTAATCCCAGCACCCTGGGAGGCTGAGGGCAGATCACTTGAGGCCAGGAGTTCAAGACCAGCCTGGCCAACGTGGCGAAACCCCGTCTCTACTAAAAAAAAAAAAAAAAAAAAAACAAACAAACAAACTTAGCTGGGCGTGGTGGCACACGCCTATAATCCCAGCTACTCAAGAGGCTGAGGCAGGATAATCACGTGAACCCGGGAGGTGGAGGTTGCGGTGAGCCGAGATCGCACCACTGCACTCTAGCCTGGGTGACGGAGTGAGACTCTGTCTCAAAAAATAAAAATAAAAATAAAAATAAAATGAATCTTTTAAGCAGACACTGAAGTCTTTGTTTAAATCTATACCCTTAAAAGTTTCAACATTCAAAATGGCCAAAACTGTTTTTCCCCTGGCTGTCATGTTGGGCAAATGGAGTTCACTTTCTATCTGGGATATGTGGGTATTTCTCTGTTGCCAAAATACATCCCAGCCTGTGGGCGAAGGATCACCCAGGTGCTGAGGCAAGAGACTGAAGGCACAAACTGTTTCAGTATAATAAAGAAAACAGTGGCCGGGCGCGGTGGCTCAGGCCTGTAATCCCAGCACTTTGGGAGGCCGAGGGCGGGCGGATCACGAGGTCAGGAGATCGAGACCATCCTGGCTAACATGGCGAAACCCGGTCTCTACTAAAAAAAATACAAAACAATTAGCCGGGCGTGGTGGCGGGTGCCTGTAGTCCCAGCTACTCGGAAGGCTGAGGCAGGAGAATGGCGTGAACCCAGGAGGCGGAGGTTGCAGCGAGCAGAGATCGCACCACTGCACTCTAGCCTGGGAGACAGAGCGAGACTGTCTCAAAAAAAAAAAAATACATACATACATATATATATATAAAATAAAGAAAATAGAATAAGAATAGTCATAATACAAATTAGATAGAGAGATGATCATGGACATTATCAGTCATTAGTATAAACATGATTAATTAGCTTTTAATACTACTCTTTGATGTATTACTCATATTACCAAGGAATAACTGGTGGGCACAGGGTCAGGTGCTGAAGGGACATTGTGAGAAGTGACCTAGAAGGCAAGAGGTGAGCCCTCTGTCACGCTGGCATAAGGGCCGCTTGAGGGCTCTTTGGTCAAGCAGTAACGCCAGTGTCTGGGAAGGCACCTGTTACTCAGCAGACCATGAAAGGGCGTCTCCCTTTCCTTGGAGGAGTCAGGGAACACTCTGCTCCACCAGCTTCTTGTGGGAGGCTGGATATTATCCAGGCCTGCCCGCAGTCATCCGGAGGCCTAACCCCTCCCTGTGGTGCTTCAGTGGTCACAC
Organism: Homo sapiens; assembly: GCF_000001405.40. Taxonomy (NCBI): domain Eukaryota; kingdom Metazoa; phylum Chordata; class Mammalia; order Primates; family Hominidae; genus Homo; species Homo sapiens. Next base: position 180,608,119 of record NC_000005.10, read on the forward strand.
TCCTTGTCCACTTTCATGCTCCTCTTGTCCTCCTGGTTCCTCTTTGAAGTTTGTAGTAGATAGCAGTAGAAGAAATAGCGAAAGTCTTAAAGTCTTTGATCTTTCTTATAAGTGCAGAGAAGAAAATGCTGACGTATGCTGCCTTCTCTCTCTCTGCTTCAGCTACCTAAGAGGGAAGGGCCCCGTCCCATGATCATGTGACTTGCTTCACCTTATCAATCACTTGAACGACTCACCCTCCTGACCCTGCCCCCTTGTCTTGCATGCAATAAATATCAGCGTGCTCAGCCATTCGGGGCCACTACCGGTCTCCACGTCTTGATGGTAGGGGTCCCCCAGGCCCAGCTGTTTTCTCTTTATCTCTGTCTTGTGTCTTTCTTTCTTACGATCTCTTATCTCCACACACGGGGAGAACACCCGCTAAGCCCCACAGGGCCGGACCCTACACCAGCCAGTTCAGATTACAGTATCTACCCGGCTTCTGGAGCCACTGGGTGAAGTTCCGGGGTTCTGGGGCTGGGGTGGCCTCCCCAACCTGGAGGAGAGTGTGTGTGCCCTGGGCATGGTGGGTTACGTGTGGTGTCAGAAAGACACAGCATCTGAGCTCTGTCAGATGACAGGGAGGTGTCGGGACCAGCGCCCACGTGGCCAGCATGTGACAGGGAGGGGCTCCCGCGGTGCTGTAGGTCAGGAGGGGTCTCAGGCAGCTCACCTTGAACGCGCGAAAAGGCCATAGGGAGCCACGAAAGGTTCCGGGAAGAGGGCTGGGCACACCCAGACCCCAGCCTCCCTCCTCCAGGGGAGGGCAACATCGATACCTGCAGTGCAGGAGGCTCACGAAGCCCTTACCTGAAGCCGCTTTCTTGTCTATGCCTGCTCTCTATCTGCTCAAACTCCTCCGAGGCCAGCACCATCCCACTGTCTGTCTGGTTGTCCTGTGTGGAGAGGACAAGCCAGGCTGTGGGTCCCGCCTGAGGCCCTCCTGCAGGGCAGCCACCCCCAGCCAGGAAAGTGCGGCATGGTCCTGCAGCGCGGCTGACCTAACACCTGTCCCTGGGAAGCTGAGCCAGAAACAAGGCGTCCATTCCATCCCAGGGTGAGGGTCACATGCCCCTGCCACGGAGGGAGACACTGAGGTCAGGGGGGCTGTGTGTGGCCCGTGGACGCCTCATACTTGGGGACCTCCACGGTGGCCAAGCATATGCTCAGTGTGTGAAGAGCAGGAGCCGTGGGAGAAGCAGGGAGAGGCCTCACAACCTGGCAGCTCGTAGTTCAAAAAACGATCCATGTGAGGCTGCCTCCCGGTTTGGGGGGCTTTGTTATCCTTCGACTGTGGCTTGGTGTGGTTTTTATTTTGAATTACACGGGAGGGAAACTGCGATCTTTTCAGAGTCCCCCAACATCTCCAAGTGGCCCTGGAGGCAGGAACCCAGGTCCCTGTGGTCTGGCCAAGGGCTCCCATGGGGCCCCTCTGCCCAGCGCTCACTGACCAGGCCCGGGACCCCCGAACCTGCCACCGAGGAGGAGCCGTCCTTCCACTGGGGTTTCTGCGCTGCTGAGGAGGGGAGGCCTCGTGTGGGGGTGACGAGGGCATAGGACAGAAAGCAGCTGTGAGTCGTGGCATCGCAGGAGGGCCCAAATGTGCCCAAGGCTCACCCTGGACTTGCACTTTCAAAGGACAGTCGTTGGGTTCTGCCATTTGCCTTACGAATTCCTGACGCTGCCTCCCCTGAGGCGGCCCCAGCCCTGAGCCGAGAGCGCAGCCCCCACCCTTCATGTGAAGTACCACAGAGCCTTTGTAGGTCGTTGGGGTCATGGGGAATTCCTCAAATGTCTTCATCCTGGAGGAACCACGGGTCTCAGCCCCTCTGGCCAGGCACCCGGGAAAGGACACCCAGTTGTAATACCTGTGGGGAGAAATCAGAAGGTGCTGAGGAACGCGCTGCAGCAACCCTCCTCGAACTTCTCTCCACTGTCCCTGTGCCCCCTCTTCTCCTGGAAAGGACCCCCCGCCTGGGGCAGGAGTATGGATGGGCCTGGGCCTGAGTGCTGGCAGGGGCTCCTCCGTGTGCCTGGCCTCAGATGTCTACCCCACAGCCCCAGCAGCACCCTGGGCTGTGTTTCCTCCCGAGTCCACTGCTGAGCTCTGTGATGGGAAGTGAGGGGGCATCCAGCCCCGTGTGGCATGGAGCTCCTCCCGGGGATGGGCTACCCTGGGCCAGCCAGGCAGCCCTGGGGCTGCAAGCCGCCGACTGCCCTGCCCGTACGTGGGTGCACTAAGGCACACGTTGAGGGGTTTGTGGAAGGAGCCTGGCAGAATCCAGCTAACTGTTGTTGTCCCCCAGGCCTAGCCCTGCCGTATGCTAGGGCAGAGGGACAGGACGCAGAGCCTGCATCTCAGCAACACTGCTGTGAATGGGGCCAGCACAGCCATCCTGAGTGTGAAATGCCAGGGATAAGAGAGCCTGGGCAGAGTTCCGGGAATTAGGTTACGTTCTCCTCCTGCCCACGCCTCATAGTTGGAGTCCTTCCCTGCTCCCAGGGACTCTTGGGGACTCACCCCCAGACTAATCAGTGATTTAGATAATCAGAGATTCCTGGGAGGAATCTTGGCCCAAACACAGTCCACTCCACCTCTCCGGGAGAAAAAGTACGCTTGCCGGGCGCAGTGGCTCACGCCTGTAATCCCAGCACTTTGGGAGGCCGAGGCAGGCAGATCACGAGGTCAGGAGATCGAGACCATCCTGGCTAACACGGTGAAACCCCGTCTCTACTAAAAATACAAAAAATTAGCCAGGCGTGGTGGCGGGTGCCTGTAGTCCCAGCTACTCGGGAGGCTGAGGCAGGAGAATGGCGTGAACCTGGGAGGCGGAGCTTGCGGTGAGCCGAGATCGCGCCACTGCACTCCAGCCTGGGCGACAGAGCGAGACTCCGTCTCAAAAAAATAAATAAATAAATAAAAAGTACCCTTGATGTTGGGGTGAGGGGACACTGGTGGGTGGACAGGACTCAAAAACAAGCACGCAGCCAGGCCACACGGCCGTGGAAGGACCCTGCAGTGGGTCATTTAAAGCCACTCTGTGCTCTGAGTTTGTGCACACTGGCCTCTGACGTCGCATGATTTGCTTTTCCCCGATGACGCAGAGGGATAAAATGCACCTTGTCCACATGGCTTTCTCCCACCCTACTCCTGGACCTGCAGGACAGCTGACCTGGCGGCCAGGCTGTGGCGCTGCAGGCTTGGCGGGCTGTCCTCAGCGTCAGCCTGGGCGATGTGTAGGGCCATGGTGGACACCTGCGAGAAGCTGCCCTCTTCTGAGCTCTGAGAGCTGCGCGGGGCCATGCAGACCTCCTCTTCCTCCTGGCGGGAACAGGAGAGGCAGCCAGGCCAGAAACCACCAGCCACTGCCCTCAGCCCTCGCCCCCACCCTCAGCCCTCACCCCCGCCCTCAGCCCTCACCCCCGCCCTCAGCCCTCGCCCCCGCACTCAGCTCTCGCCCCCGCCCTCGCCCTGCCCTCAGCCCTCGCTCTGCCCTCGGGACTGCTTGGGCTCCTGACCCCTGAGATAGGGCCCTAACAGACCATGCGGGCACGTGAGTGCTCCACAGAGGAAACGAGCTCATGCCAGAAACCAGCACATCTCAGCCATCAAGACAGATAAGGGGTCAAGGTAGCAGAATGCTGGCTGTGCCAGCCTCGCTAAGTTCTCCCAACAGCCCTTCCAGGTACATTTATGGATGAGGCAGGTGGGGCAGGCTGGGGCTCAGCCGGATCATCCCTCCTCCAGTCCCTAGCTGAGCTGGCAGCCTCAGGAACTGGGGCCAGCACTCCCTACCTTCTTCTTTGGATGGAACTAGACCCGCAGCACCCATCCCAGTCCCTAAGGCCTGGGCAACAGGCCACCCCCTGCTTCTTGCTCCAGGCCCCACCTTGAGCTGGGTCACAAGCCGGCTCCATCCCCCACCCTGGAGGAGCACCACGTGGGGAGGGAGAGATGTCAGCACACACAGGTCAAGGGTCCGTGTGTTCAGTGGAGTGGGGGACAGAACTGGCACCAGGTGAAGGAATACATCATGACGATGCCAGGGAGATGGGGCTGCCTCACAGGCCGGGGGGGACCAGCCTAGGATTCCCCTCGCGCAGGGACAGGCTCTGACTATCCACACAGCACCTGGAGCAGGCAGTGGAGCTGTGCAGCGGGTGTGTACTCAACAGAAAGATGCAAGGGTGTGGGGACGAGGTGTGGATAGGGGCCCAGGACCCCACCACCCTAGCCTAGCAGCTGAGAGGTGGGCAGAGCCTAGATGGGCTTGGAGGGGCAGCTCGGGCCAGGGACCCAGGGCAGGGGCCAAAGGCCATAGTAGAACAGGGTGGGGAAGGGGCTCACTTGCAGGCCCCTGCCCTGGAGCAGGTCCCCCAGGATCTCCACCAGCTCCGAGAATGCAGGTCTCGCCTTGGGGTCTCCGGACCAGCAGTTCAGCATGATGCGGCGTCTGCAGGATCACGTGGGCTGCTGGACTGCATGCACCCCACCCCCGTCCCAGGACCTTCAGTGCCCCAGCCTTCCTGGGCCCTCTCACCCACTCTGCCCTCCTCCTGACACGTCTCCCACTCTTGTCCAGCTACCCTCGTTCCTCCTTCAAGTGTTAGCCCAGCGTCCCCTCCTGGTGATGCTTTCCCTGAACACTCGGCTCTGTTCCGACAGCGCCCGGCCTTCCCTCCTGGTGTCCTCCTGGTGCAGCTGTGCTACAGACTACCCGTGTATCTTGAGGGTGGTGCCCAGGCCTGTCCTACTGGCCCTGGCTTCCCTGATGCCACCTTCTCATGGACACAACCCCCACGCCCCCGACGCTTGCTGTCCCCAAAACCTGCAGGGCCATGGGGAGGCTCACATGGCGGGAGTGGCCAGCTCCGGGGCCCTCATCCTTGTGCCGTCTCTCAGCCGCTGGCAGAACTCCTCATTGATCTGCACCCCAGGGTACGGGGAGGCCCCTGACAACAGGAAGGGGAGGTGGGTGGGGAGCAAGCCTCCTGCGGCTCAGCCCAGCCCCCCAAGTCACCCCATCCTGTCCCTTCCCCATCAAGTCACCCCGTCCTGTCCCTTTCCCCATCCGTGGTGGGGTGGAGATGGCTCACCCGACTGTGCTCTACCTGGGACCTGTGGGCAAGTCGCTGCCCTCCCCAGCTCTAGTTCATTTGGTTAAAAGAGGACTGTGCCGCCTGCTTGCTAGGGGTGCCAAGAGCATCCACCCACTGGCGACACGGTAGACATCATGGTTACTGGATCATCAGCGGCGGGGGAGCCGCCTGCAGGCAGTTTCAACAAAGCCTCTCTTGCTTCTCGCTGCTTCTCCTGCTGCTCCCCCCAACCCCTGCTGCTCCCCCCAACCCCTGCTGCTCCTCCCAACCCCTGCTGCTCCCCGTCCTGGACTGCTGAACTCCCTCCTTGGGCCCCTCTGGCTTACCCGAGCTCCCACGCCTCCTACACTCTTCCTGCTCCTTTAGTTTCCGCAGTAGCGTGGATCAGTTGCCACTTGGTGACATTTTAACTTTTTCAAGTTCACTGCCCTACCCTGGCCTGGAGACTTCATCATGCTCGCAGCGGGGCCTGAGTTCCCACATGGAGCTCTTGGAGCTCTTGGAGTAGGCACGTCTGCTGACTGGGCACTGAGCTCCCTCTGGGGCTGCCATGTGAAAAGGCTCAGTCCTGGCTCAGGCTTCAATGTGCACCCCACAGAGGGTGGCCCACGTTGGAGGCAAAGTCCTCTCGGAGGCTGGGCCAGGCTGGGGAGAGGTGGGGGGCCCTTGGTGGCCCACAAACCACCTGCTTCAGAACGACCTGGCACACACCTCCAGGTGCCCAGTCCCTTACTCCAGCAGGGGCGGTCATGTAACCTGCCGCCAGTGACCTCGCCTCCTCTCCCCACCGGCACCCCATCCTGCACTCACCCAGAGAGAAGATCTCCCAGAGAAGCACCCCAAAGGACCACACGTCACTCTGCGTGGTGTACACCTTGTCGAAGATGCTTTCAGGGGCCATCCACTTCAGGGGCAGCCGGGCCTGGGGAGACAGAGGGAAGCTTGTCCCGTGGTGGATGGGGAGACGGAGGGAAGCGTGTCCCGTGGTGGATGGGGAGACGGAGGGAAGCGTGTCCTGCGGTGGATGGGGAGACGGAGGGAAGCGTGTCCCGTGGTGGATGGGAAGAGAGGGCTGAGGCCAGATGCTCTGGCACCCCCTAACAGGGTCCTCTGCCTGGGTTGAAGGTATCTCCCTGCTGCTGTTCTCCTGGGTCTGTCTGGGCCCCTCTCCCTCCCAGCTCTCAGGGGAGGGGTATCGGGGTAGACTGTACACCTTCCTCCAGCCCTAGACCTCCAGCGCAGCCTCCTGATGAAACGCACCCCTGCACACTCTCACCATCTCCCCTGACAAGCACGCTCTGTCCACTCACTGTCCCCACCCTGGAAGCCGGGCCATCACTCCTGACACCCTCCTCCTGGGCTCCTGAGGCATCTCCGCCGCCGGCTGTCTCTCTCCCTCTCATGGTCTCTACCTGGGAGCCCTGAGGGCCAGGGCCCTTCTGGACTGGCCTCTACCTCCACCCCAGCACCCCCACTCCCCTCTCTTCCCAGCTTACGGCATAAGGGAGGTTTTTGTAACTGCAGACAACCTGACACTTCCCTCCAACCAGCGGCCATGCTGGGCTGGATGGCTCATCAAGACCAGGCCCTGGGCCCATCCTGCTCCTCCCCCTCTGACACCCTTTCTCCCCCAGGCGCGGAACCCTGACCCGCCTTGGAGGCTCATCCAGGCACCTGCTGCCCTGCCTGAGCTCCATTCACAAGACACTCCGCCTCCTGAGTTCCACATACTGCACCAAGCGGGTCCATCTCCAGGACAGACACCACAGAATGCTTTGCACTCTCAGGCTCCATAGGGCAGGCCCTGGGAGTCAGGACCCACCGCACGGAGCAAGGCGCGGGGCAAAGACAAGCTCCAATCAGAACAAGCTCCAATCGGAGCACTGCGGCCCCGCTGGTCACCTCCCTTCTCCACTTCCTTTCGGAGCACTGGGCCCCGCTGGTCACCTCCCTTCTCCACTTCCTTTTGGAGCACTGGGCCCCGCTGGTCAACTCCCATCTCCACTTCCGAAATCCACTTCCTTTCGGAGCACTGGGCCCCGCCGGTCACCTCCCTTCTCCACTTCCTTTCGGAGCACTGGGCCCCGCTGGTCACCTCCCTTCTCCACTTCCGAAATCCACTTCCTTTCGGAGCACTGGGTCCCGCTGGTCACCTCCCTTCTCCACTTCCTTTCGGAGCACTGGGCCCGCCGGTCACCTCCCTTCTCCACTTCCGAAATCCACTGTCTTTCGGAGCACTGGGGCCCCGCCGGTCACCTCCCTTCTCCACTTCCTTTCGGAGCACTGGGCCCGCCGGTCACCTCCCTTCTCCACTTCCTTTCGGAGCACTGGGTCCCGCTGGTCACCTCCCTTCTCCACTTCCTTTCGGAGCACTGGGCCCGCCGGTCACCTCCCTTCTCCACTTCCTTTCGGAGCACTGGGCCTGCCGGTCACCTCCCTTCTCCACTTCCGAAATCCACTTCCTTTCGGAGCACTGGGCCCGCCGGTCACCTCCCTTCTCCACTTCCTTTCGGAGCACTGGGCCCCGCCGGTCACCTCCCTTCTCCACTTCCTTTCGGAGCACTGGGCCTGCCGGTCACCTCCCTTCTCCACTTCCTTTCGGAGCACTGGGCCTGCCGGTCACCTCCCTTCTCCACTTCCTTTCGGAGCACTGGGCCCCGCCGGTCACCTCCCTTCTCCACTTCCTTTCGGAGCACTGGGCCCCGCCGGTCACCTCCCTTCTCCACTTCCTTTCGGAGCACTGGGCCTGCCGGTCACCTCCCTTCTCCACTTCCTTTCGGAGCACTGGGCCTGCCGGTCACCTCCCTTCTCCACTTCCTTTCGGAGCACTGGGCCTGCCGGTCACCTCCCTTCTCCACTTCCTTTCGGAGCACTGGGCCTGCCGGTCACCTCCCTTCTCCACTTCCTTGCCCCAAGATGCCTAAGGTGGGGGGTGGTCAGTAGGGTCCCCTGGGGGCAGGAGGTCCACCAGCAGCTGGGCACATGGCTGGCCAACCAAGGAGCTCACCTCACCCTGTGCCAGCCCTCCCTCTCCTGGACAGGCAGTCTGTGGTCCCACCCCTTCACCTGTTCCGCCCCACGTTCCCTCTCCTCAATGGCCTGCACTCACACTGCCCTTGCGGACGTAGTCGGGGTCTTTGTAGATGTCCCGGGCAAGGCCAAAGTCACAGATCTTCACCACGTCGCTTTCCGACAGCAGAATGTTCCGAGCAGCCAGGTCTCTGTGGATGCACTGGGGTGCGGGGAGGCGGCAGGGGGGCTGTCAGTGCAGGCCCCTGGGGTAATACCCACACCCGAAACTCCAGGGTGCCCAAGCAGTGGGGACCATGGGGATGCCCTGCCTGAACTGTGCTCCTTTGGGGAAGGATTCCCATCCATCTCCAGGACTCATCATGGAGAGAGCTTGTGGAATTGTGGGGACAGCAGAGAAAGTTGTGGAGTCAAACAGACTCTGCTGCTGACCAGCCAAGAGACCTTGGGAGGTCAACTCCATGCTTTGGGCAGAGTTTCCTCCTCTGCAAAGTGGGAGAGACACTGATGGACCACAGAGCCATTGCAGGGTGAGGCCAGTACCAAGCACTTCTTGGCGACTGGTGGGGATGCACCCTTTTCCCGTCTGAAGGGCCTTCGGGGGAAGCTCACCTTTCGGGAAGCCAGGAACTCCATCCCTCTGGCCACCTGGAAGCTGTAGCAGACAAGATCTTCCATGGTCAGCGGGCTCAGCCACAGGTCCTCAGCTACACAGTGGAGCCAGGTGGGCTCAGGAGGCGCCTCCTCCGCGGCCTCCATCTACCCAGCCCCAGGGAACAGCTAACAAGCATGTCAGCCCCTCTCCTGCCCCTCAGACTCTGGGACACCCACATCCTACTCCAGAGCACCCTCTCCTGCCCCTCAGCCTCTGGGACACCCACATCCTACTCCAGAGCACCCTCTCCTGCCCCTCAGCCTCTGGGACACCCACGTCCTACTCCAGAGCACCCTCTCCTGCCCCTCAGCCTCTGGGACACACACGTCCTACTCCAGAGCACCCTCTCCTGCCCCTCAGACTCTGGGACACCCACGTCCTACTCCAGAGCACCCTCTCCTGCCCCTCAGACTCTGGGACACCCACGTCCTACTCCAGAGCACCCTCTCCTGCCCCTCAGCCTCTGGGACACCCACATCCTACTCCAGAGCACCCTCTCCTGCCCCTCAGCCTCTGGGACACCCACGTCCTACTCCAGAGCACCCTCTCCTGCCCCTCAGCCTCTGGGACACCCACGTCCTACTCCAGAGCACCCTCTCCTGCCCCTCAGCCTCTGGGACACCCACGTCCTACTCCAGAGCACCCTCTCCTGCCCCTCAGCCTCTGGGACACCCACGTCCTATTCCAGAGCACCCTCTCCTGCCCCTCAGCCTCTGGGACACCCACGTCCTACTCCAGAGCACCCTCTCCTGCCCCTCAGCCTCTGGGACACCCACGTCCTACTCCAGAGCACCCTCTCCTGCCCCTCAGCCTCTGGTACACCCACGTCCTATTCCAGAGCACCCTCTCCTGCCCCTCAGCCTCTGGGACACCCACGTCCTACTCCCAGAGCACCCTCTCCTGCCCCTCAACCTCTGGGACACCCACGTCCTATTCCAGAGCACCCTCTCCTGCCACTCAGCCTCTGGGACACCCACGTCCTACTCCCAGAGCACCCTCTCCTGCCCCTCAGCCTCTGGGACACCCACATCCTATTCCAGAGTACCCTCTCCTGCCACTCAGCCTCTGGGACACCCACATCCTACTCCAGAGCACCCTCTCCTGCCCCTCAGCCTCTGGGACACCCACGTCCTACTCCCAGAGCACCCTCTCCTGCCCCTCAGCCTCTGGGACACCCACATCCTATTCCAGAGCACCCTCTCCTGCCCCTCAGCCTCTGGGACACCCACATCCTATTCCAGAGCACCCTCTCCTGCCCCTCAGCCTCTGGGACACCCACGTCCTACTCCCAGAGCACCCTCTCCTGCCCCTCAGCCTCTGGGACACCCACGTCCTACTCCAGAGCACCCTCTCCTGCCCCTCAGCCTCTGGGACACCCACGTCCTACTCCCAGAGCACCCTCTCCTGCCCCTCAGCCTCTGGGACACCCACATCCTACTCCAGAGCACCCTCTCCTGCTCCTCAGCCTCTGGGACACCCACGTCCTACTCCAGAGGACCCTCTCCTGCCCCTCAGCCTCTGGGACACCCACGTCCTACTCCCAGAGCAGTAAATACTGTTGCTCTGTGGGGGCCGGGCACCTGCTGCTTGGCCCTCCACTGCCTGCCTTGTCTGCAGGGCAATTTCCTATTCAGCCTCTGATGACCCAGTCAATCGTAAAACATCTGTGTGAAAATTGTCCCCGAGGTGTCTTCCCTTCCTAAGGCAGAGCCCATTCCACACTCTCCCATGAAAGCCCCCGCTGAGGACCCCAGGCTGGGGTGCCTGATCACGGGATATAACCGGGCCCGTCAGGCACTAGGAAAAGGGAAGAGGCCAGGCTCTCACCTTCTTGGTCTGGAGAAGCCCGCCTCGCTCCGCCCTCGGTCTTCGAGAACCGCGCGAAGAGGACCCTGTCGCTGCTCCCCGGCCGCCTCCGATCCAGCCTGGCGAGCTCCACCATGGCGCGGAAGCGTCCGCGCTGCTCGGGAGACTTCTCCTGCGGATGCACGAAGCTGGCTCGAGGGCGCCCAGTCGTCCGCCGCAGAGGCGCCTCCATTCCCCCGCCGCCCGCGGCGCCCCGCAGGCCGCCCGCTCACCGCGCAGGGGCTGAAGGCGTCCCGCTTGGCGCGCAGGAAGTTGGAGAGGTTGCCGTACTTGCAGAACTCCACGATCACCATGAGGGGGCCTGCGGCGGGACCGGGCGGCGGCCGTGCGTTCGGAACCCGGGGCGCGCTGCGGGCGCGCTCCGCGTTTGCACCCGCGCCCCCTCCCGCCCGCGGCGCCCCGCGCCCGGGGTCTCGCCGTCCCAGCGGGCCGCCCGCTCCGTACCCTGCGGCTTGGTGCACGCCCCGAGGAGGTTGACCACGTTGAGGTGGTTGCCGATGTGAATGAGGATCTTGAGCTCCGACATCAGCGCGCGGTGCTCGCTGGCCGTGGCGCCCTCTGGAGGGGACACGGGCCTCACACCGGCCCCGACCCTGGCAGGTCCCCGTTCCCCGCCACCCGGCGCTTTTGGGAGGGGGAGGGTTACTAAGGGCCCCCAGGACATCCTGCCGGCCCCACTGAGGCAGAGGGGGTTCGGGTGGTCCCTCGGCTCTGAAGCCCGCAGCCTCCCTGTAGAATCTCGGATGAGACTGGCTTCCAGCCTCAGTCTCCCTTCCCGAGTTGCCGTCCCACCGGCCCACCCCGAGCTGCTGCTCCTCACCAGCTAGGCTGCCCCTTCCGCCCGCTGACCCCACACCTTTCAGCATTTTCACGGCCACGGTGTCACAGCTGCTGCCCTTGTGGATGCCGAAAGCGGAGGCTTCCACCACCTTCCCGAAGGCGCCGTAGCCGAGCACTCTCCCTGTCGGGGCAGGGGGCCAGTTGCAGGTGAGCTGTACGGGGTGAGCGTGGAGACAGGTGGGCGGCGGGGGAGCCCCGTGCAGAGGTCCAGGAGGACAGGCCTGGCAGCAGGAGGAGCGTGGGGAGCCACAGCGGGAAGACAAGGAGAGGTGGACAGGAGGCCGCGCATCCTCCCGGGTAGGTGTGACAGATACACCCTGCTCAGGGTGGCAGCAGGTGACCTCAGGGAGCCTGGGAACTGGGGACCCTGGCTGAGGTTCTAGGTACCCACGCCCACAGGGACAGGTCAGGCCAGGCGGAACTTCCTGGTGCAAGTTTTGAAAATGGAGGGATTCAGGCACTCCGGCCTGCAGCAGGTGGGTCGGGCAGGAGGTGTGGGTTGGGCAGGCTGGTGCTGGCCTCACCCAGGTGCAGCCGCTCTCGGGGGAATTCCCACTGGCTGGCATCGTAGGACAGGTATTCGCATTGCTCCTCCAGAGGCACCTCCCCGGGGTCCATGATGATGGACAGGTAGCCCGTCTTGATGTCTGCGTGGGCCGGCTGCGGGGAGGGGACAGGGAGGAGTGGGGCAGCTCACTGATTTGGCCATACCACTGTGGCTTGGGCAGAACTTTGCCCAGGACAGATGGCACTTCCTGCGGGGTTCTCAGTCAAGGAGGGGACAGAAAAAAAGACAGACAACCTCTGCGGGGTTGGAGCCCAGCGTGAAGGGCAGGGAGGCTTCCCAGGAAACAAGGCTGCCAGGTGAACTAGGGCGGGCACCTTATTCTTTATCTTAGGGGCGGCCAGGGTGGGGAAGGCCTGAGAGAGACTCCATCAGGAGCGGGGAGGGACACTCACCCTCCTCATGTTACAGAAGATGAGGAGGAGGAGGACCCAGAAGAAGACAGCGATGACGCCGGTACCGACAAGGATCACGATCTCCATGCTGCCCTTATCCTCGGAGCCTGCGTGGGCAGAAAGGGGCCGGCGTGTGTGTGTGTGTGTGTAAGAGCGTGCACCTGCAGGCAGCACCCCTTCTGGTGGCCACGACTTGCCCAAGGTGGCCACAAGAAAGCGTTAACTGGGGACGGGAAGGGAGTTGAGGGGTGCAGCCTGAGGCCAGACCTTCCACGGCCACGCTGGCGGAGGAGTTGACGCAGCCCTTGGCGTTGCACACGCTGCACAGATAGCGTCCCGCATCCTCCTCGCGCACGCGCTGGATGCTCAGCTTCTGGTTGGAGTCCGCCAAGTCGACTCCTGCAGGGGGTGGGGTGGAGGTGCGGGTCCACCTGGGTTTGGGATCGTCGGCCTCGCGGGCCTCCGGACCTGCCCTTCGCCAGGGCCACCCTCCCTACCAGACTTTTCCTCCAGCAGCCTCTCGTCTTTGTACCACACGATGCTGGGCGCGTGCGCTCCGGCCACCAAGCACTGCATCTCCAGCGAGTCGCTCACGTTCACCAGGAGGTCGGTCAAGTTCTGCGTGAGCCGAGGGGCTTCCAGGGCTGGGGGCAGGGGTCGAGAGGGAGCTAAGTGGAGCTGCACTTAGCAGGAGGACCCTCTTTGGGCTGGGAGCAGAGGTAGAAAAGGATCCCTGGAAGCTGGACTTAGGGGTTGTGCGCCGGGCAGGAGCGCGGCGCGCCTCCGCAGGGGGCGGCGGATAGTCAGGAGGGGTAGCTCCTGCAGGCCAGGGCTGTGAATAGACCTCCCAGGGGCGAGCCACGCCGGGGCAAAGGCAGAGGCAGCTACTGCTAGAAGAGAGCGCGTCCCCGCCCTCCCCGCGGCCAGCCTCACCCTGCACCGACAGGTACTTCTTGTGGCAGTGCTTGTCATGGCTGCGCCGGTCTTGCACTTCGCACACATAGTGGCCCTCGTGCTCGGGCGCGACGCGGGGGATACTCAGGCTGAGCGTGGCGTGGCGCGCCCCAGGTGCCACCTCCTCCAGGCTGGCGGCCAGAGGGGTGGCGAACAGATGCACGTTCTTGCAGTCGAGCAGAAGCGGGTTCCCGTGCGCATCGTGCAGCGTGGACAGGTTGAGGCGGTACCAGCGCAGATGCTCGTACTTGTAGCTGTCGGCTTGGCAGCTCAGGAGCACCGGCTGGCCCTCTAGTAGCTCCTCGGATGGCTTGGATTCGATGGTGAAGCCGTCGGGGATGGCTGTGGAGGGAGGAAGAAGCCCTGTGGCACTGCCCTGGGAGTTTGCTCCCCCATCCACCTGCCGCCCCGGGGTCTCCTCCTGCCTCCCTCCCTCCCTCTCTCCTGGAGGGGCCCCAGCTGGACTGCTTGCCCCCCGCCCCACCAAAAGCCCAGGTCATCAGGAGTTCCTTGTCACCCTCAGTGGGACTTGAGTCCTCATTCTCTCTTGAAGCTTGCCATGCCCCACCCCATGCTCAGCCTGAAATAACGTGTTCCCTGGCTTTTCCCAGTGCCGTGCGCCCACTTCCTCTTGTCTCTCTGGTCACTTCTGGTCAGGCTCCTGTGGCCCCCCAGCCCCCGGGTGTTCTTTTGGGCTCCATCTCTCTGCTGGTGCCCTGATCTACATCTCTCTGCTGGTGCCCTGATCTACATTCTGGGACCCAGTGACGTCTGCTCCTGGGCTCCGCTCTCCTGAGGTCACTACCACATTTGAAAATCTGAGTAAACCACAGAGCTTCTCCCCAGAGCAAAATTCACACGAGTCACAAGGTCTCAGGGCTTGGGAAGGGGAGGGTGGGAGTGGGTATAGCTAGGAGGAGCTGCAGTGAGCCAAGGGCATCCTTGAGGGAGGAGCCCCAGGGTTGGGGACAGAGGATGCCATTCCATCCCAGTGCGCCAGCACCCAGGCCCTATGCTGGTGACCCTTAAATCTATTTTTCCTGTCTACAACCGGTAGGCCTTGGATCTCTCTCCTGGGTGTCCCAAAGACCCCAGAAACTCAATGAGCCCAAACCTGCCCCCTCCTGACCCTGTACCCAGGCCTCCCCGCCCTGGTCTGGTCACTCACTGGTCACATAGAAGTAGATGAGCCGCTCATCCTGGCCCACCTTGTTGGAGACCACACACTTGTACATGGCAGACACGTTGGCATTCTGGATCACCAGCTTGCTCACAGTCTGGGAGAGCACAGGCACAAGGATCCATTTCCTGCCCAAGTTCTCCCAACCTGGGCCCTGTCTTTCTGCAAGGAGGTCGCTGTGCACCACCCCCCCCAATCATGGGGGAAACTGAGGCTTTGGGCTGGAGAAGACCAAAACTCACAGGACCAGGGATAGTGAGGCAGAGGAGAGAAGGCCCCTGGGCAGCAGAGAGAGGTAGCTGCCCAGAAAAGTCAAGGGACAGTGTATGGACTGCTGGCCTAGGCTGCAGTGACGTCAGAGGGCAGCCTTTGGCAGGACCAGAGAGACCTCTGGCCGTGGCTATGTTGAGGGGGCACCAGCGTCAGTGCAAGCCAGGGTGAGAATTCAGCCTGGGTCACAGCAAAAGCCAGTCACTTCTGGATGGGGTCAGGCCCAATCCAGTCGCTGCTTGCTGAGATCCTCGTGAGATGGCCTCCTCAGCCCAGAACTGTCCTCAGCAGCAATCCCGAGGCCCAGGGTTATTGAGAGGGGTGGGGATGGCTCCCAGAAGGACTGAGGCCTCAGGGAGTAGGAAGCCTGAGACACAGGGGAGGAGAGAGGGCCACAGGCCCTGCCTACCATCCAAAGACCCCCACCCCCACCCCACCCCCAGCTGGGCACTTCCTGTCCAGGACTGGAACAGGAAGAGGCTCTGGAGGTGTGTAGGAAAACAGGAAGTGACTGGAGGAAGTAGGTGCCTTTGTTCAGTACCCCCTTCTCGGCGTTGCCCCCAGGCTGCGCCAGCGGCTCAGCAGCCCTCTGTGCAGACCTGGTCAGCCTCCAGCCCTGTCCCCTCCTGGTCCTGGGGCCTGTGGGCCTCAGGGGCTCATGGCCTGGCCAGGTGGCCTTGCATGTCAGCTTCCTTGTCTGGGAAGCCGCCAGAGGTCCGCCCTCCATCACAAAGCCGGAGACTGGCCCTCTGACCTTTCTGCAGGCAGGGTGGCCGAGGCCTACAGACTGCAGGAAGGTCACCCGCTCTCGGCTGCTCTGCCCAGCACTCTGGAAGCCAGGTGGAAACCACATGGCAGTAATGGCCTCTCTCTCCTCCCTTCTCCTTCTCCCTGGGCACTCAGCAGCGCGGCTGGCCTGTACCTTATTCTTTCCCTCCACAAACTCGGTCCAGGTGTCCAGGCTCTCGATGGGGTTCACGGCATCCTGCGTGGTCACCGCCCTCCAGTCACGGCACTGTGGCATGAGGTCTTGCTGCTGCCGCCGCCGGCTGCCAGGACCAGAAGAGGCAAGGGCAGGTCAGGGATACAGGCAGGAAGGGCCCACATGGGGGGCGGGGTCAAGCCCTTGTCATATCCAGTCACCTTCTCATATGGGGTCGTGGGCGAGGCTGGCCCTCGGGCCTGGGTGAGGGAGATGGGAAGGGGACTTTGGTGTTTTTTTTTTTTTTTTGAGACGGAGTTTCACTCTTGTTGCCCAGGCTGGACTGCAATGGCACAATCTCAGCTCACCGAAACCTCCGCCTCCTGGGTTCAAGCGATTCTCCTGCCTCAGCCTCCCAAGTAGCTGGGATTATAGGCATGTGCCACCACGCCTGGCTATTTTTTTTGTATTTTCAGTAGAGTCGGGGTTTCTCCATGTTGGTCAGCTGGTCTCGAACTCCTGACCTCAGGTGATTGGTCTGCCTTGGCCTCCCAAAGCGCTGGGATTACAGGCGTGAGCCACCGAGCCCGGCCTGTTTCTGGAGCTCTGTCTCCCACCCTTCAGGCTCAGGACCCGGCAACCCATCCTACACAGGCTGCCAACACCAGCTTCCTGTGCCCACTGTCCCTCAGGCACATGTGCACTCTGTCCCGCTTCTCTGTGCCCCTTCCTGCAGAGGCCACCTGGGATCTGCCCACATGGCTGCAGGCCCAGCACAGTCCCATGCTGCCCCCGGAGGCATCTCTGCCCAGCCTCTCCCTCTCTCCTGCTTTAGGAGCTGCGGCCTCCCTCTGGGCAGGGTGTGCATCCCCAGCAAGCTTGGCCTCCTGCCAGGATTGGGGGGGTAGTCTCAGGGCCCCAAGGGAGGCTCATATCTGCCCCTGTGGAGGAGCCGAGCAGGGACCCCCCGAAGGGCTCCATCACTTGGCACAGAGCATACAGGTGGCACACCCAGAAGGAAGGACATTTGGAGGTGCTGGCAGTGAGCTGCATGCCGCACGATCTAGAAGAATACCTATGAACCTTGGACATCTGGGGCCGGCTCATGCCACCCCTACTGAGCCTCCCCCACTGACCACACCAGAGCCACAGCCAGTGGGGCTACCCTCATCTCCCATGTAGGTTCCCAGCTCCCATCCCGCCCCAGTTTGATACTAGGAATCTCTTGCTAAAAGGCAAACCTGAGCCATGTCTCCACTTCTCAACACCCTTCACTGGCTCCCTAGTGCCTTCAAGCCCTGCCCACCTGGGCGTCCTCCTCTCACCCCCTGCTTGTCTAAATGTCCTGCTGGCATCCCGCTCAGTGGAGGGGAGCACGGCTCAGCAGGTGGCTGGGTCCTGTTGCTTACAGCTGTGCCCCTGGGAAAGCCGCCTCCCTTCTCTGACCCTATTTCCCTGTCTCTAAGGGGATGTGAGTGGTGCACAGATGAGCTGAGGCCCATGAGCACACATGGTGTGCCGTGGGGCTCAGTGCAACCATCCCAGGGGCTCAGGTGACACCCCCCCAGGTCCCCACCCCGCTGGAGGTGTCCTGCTGGGTGCTCAGAGACATGTGCTTCCTTCTCCCTCCAGATGATGCAATTACGTGTCCAGAGGTCTTCGCTCTTGAGGGAGGTGGGCAGGGGCCAGACCCATCCTGTGTCCAGCTTGGCCAGCTGATGGAGGATGGGTGCAAGGGAGGCTCTGAGCCTCACTCAGGCGAGGTGAGGCCAGGGATTGGCTATAGCTGAAGGTAGGGTTCAAGTTCAGAGCAGGGCCCTGAGAAGGGGTACAGGGAAGACCTGGGCAGTGAGGGGTGCTGTAAAGGAGGTTCCTCATGGCTGAGGCTGGGGGCTGTGGCTGTGCAGGGGACCTGAGGCTGGAGCTGTACTCACAGACTACGCTGGGCAAACATCTTGCAGGGTGTCCAGGGCCGCCAGTGCCACTGGATGCTGAGAGGCAGGGGCACCCCGTAGGCCGTGCAGGTGAGGGCCTGGCGGCTGTGACGCGAGTAGATGCTGGGGGAGGAGGCCTCCTTCTCATGTATCTGGGGGGGCACTGTGGGCACACAGATGGCCGGTCAGCTGGCCTCCAATGCCAGGCCGCCCACCCGTGCGCTCTCCCGTCCCTGACCTACCATTCACCACCAGCTCCAGGCTGATGTTGCGCCTCAGGCCAGCAGCGGAGTTCCACAGGGCGAGGGTGTAGGTGCCTGTGCTGGCCTCTGTCACCTCCTTGAGCACCAGGGCATGTGGACTGTGGCGCCCGGACAGTGCCTTTCCATCCTTGTACCTGGCCAGGGAAGGGAGGTCAGGGCCCATACAGATCCCACCACAGCCCCAACCTCATGCTGGCACCCCCACCCCAAATACAGTTGGGAGGAGGGAGGGGCTGGCAGGAGTGCAGGGTAGGACGGGGAACACTGGTCTGCGAGGGGATGGTCTAAGTCCCTGGAGATGGTCTCCAGGCCGTATCTGCCAGGTGTGACAACCGTGTCAGGCGGCCGGCTCGGGCATTGGTCACTGAGGTCTGCAGTAGCACCTCCTGCCTTGCCCCAAAGCCTCTGAACTCTCCACAAGTAGTGAGATGACCATGTCACTGCTGGGGCAGCCGCCTTCTCTCCCTGCCTGTGGCTGCAGACAGCCTTCTTCAGCCAGGCTTGCCCAGCCCAGCCCAGGAGGGTCCCACACACCTGGTTCCTCCACCCAGCTGGGCACGGCCTGGAGACCCCGTCCTCTTTCTTAGACACCTGAAGGAGTGGAGGTGCAGTCCCTGCGAGCACAGTCTAGCTCCTTGACATGTGCGTGGCCCCTGCAGACATGTGGGCTTCTTGCTGCCCACACCCCGCCCCCAGGCCTGGCTCTCACTGCCTGCCTCGCTGGGACACTCATTTCTGTAGCCAGGAATCTGCAGGGTTCCCTGCCTCCTTCATTTGGGTGGGGGCGTGCAGCCTTCCTGACTGTCCTATGCTGTGGCCTGCCCCTGCCTTGCTGTGTCTGTTTGCCCAT
The DNA here is from genome assembly GCF_000001405.40 of Homo sapiens. Lineage (NCBI taxonomy): Eukaryota > Metazoa > Chordata > Mammalia > Primates > Hominidae > Homo > Homo sapiens. Next base: position 180,626,982 of record NC_000005.10, read on the forward strand.
CGTCCCCCTGGGCTGGGAGCCCCACGAGGGCAGTGCTGCCTCCTGCAGAGTTGCGCCCAGATGCCTACATGTCTGCTGCACACGTGAGGAAGCAGATGCCTCAGCCCCAGAGGGTGTGCTGGGGCCCCTGCAGGCACCTGTCTCTGTGGCCTGGACTCTGTATGGAGATGCTCCTCCTTTGGACAGGTGCCTGCCCCTGGTGCTGGGTGTGGCAGGCCAGAGATACACCACTGTGTCCTGGGAGAGGCACAGCCCTCGGGCAGAGACCAACAGAGAAGGGGAGGCAGGGGCCCATTCTCAACTTGGACATCACAGCAGGGGCCCGGGGGGAGTGCCTGGCCTGGGGTCGCAGAGTGAGGCAGGGCAGGGCAGGGGCGGAACTGAGGTGGTGCTGTCTGCATGGCTCTGGTCCTGAGTCTGCCACTTGCTGGATCTGAGACTCCTTCATTGCCTCAATGGAGATGACATGCACCTTGCAGCTGTCGTGAGGTTTAACCCGGACAGTGACAGCAGCGTGCTGGACACACTGCGGGTGCTTCGGAAGCCAAGGACCAGCCCATCTGTGTGTTTGCTAGACCGTCCACCCAGTCAGTGCTCGCCATCGTCATGTGCTGGTGCCATAGGAAGGGTGGGCACCACAGGAAGGGTGGGTGGCTGCCATAGGAAGAGAGCCAGATGTGGCAGGAGTGAGCCAGTGGAAAGCTGTTCTGAGAGGCAGCTGCCTGAGGACTGGGTAGACCCTGGACGCAACAGAGCTGCCACCTGCCCAGAGCAGGCTCAGTAATGGTGGCCTTGGAGGGCAGGGGACAGGGCCCAGGGGTCTCCAGGAGCTGTACCCGTGAGTGAGGCTCCAGGATCTGCCAGTGCCCTCAGGACTCTGCCCCAAGGGCCTTGGCACTGACCAGGTGCCTTGGATGGACACCGAAGTCTGTGTCCTCAGTGGGAGGGTCACACTGGGCTCAGGGCCAGGACACCCTGGGCCTTCCATCCCAGGAGAGACGAGCCCCCAGCCAGTGCAAGGGGCCCTGGCTGAGGAAACCCTGGGCCTCTGCTTGCCCAGCTCCAGGAAAAGTTGCCCTGCCAGGAGGGAGGTGCCCAGGCTGAAGAGAAGGAGGCTCTTGGGCTAGCTCAGTGCAGAGACCCCTCCTGGGGAATTGGCGATCAGTTAGGAATACCCTTTCCTAGCCTCTGCTTCCTCGTCTATGCAATGGGGACTCAAAGTGTGACTGACTGTGGGTGAGCCATGTGGATGACTCAGACGGCCTGAGGACGTGTTTGTGAGGGGTGCCATGCCCCCCCAGAGCCTGCAGGGAGTAGCCAGCGGAGACAGGGCCACCCCTGAGGCCTCCCTTCTCTGGGCCGCAGCACACGCTTGCAGATCGGGGATCTGCGGGGACTCCAGCAGCTTGTCGGCCTCCTGGAAGCTCTCTCGCTCGCTGCCGTGCAGCACAGGCCCAGCCCAGGCAATCTGTCAATTCCCTGTGGCATCTCCAAATTTCTGGACAGAAGGGTCCTGGGAGAGGCAGCCTCGCAAAAGGAGGCATAGGGAACGCTAAGCCATTGCTGCAGGGCAGGCCCTGGAGATTCTGCAGGGCAGAGAGGGGCCCAGCGGTCAGGAGGCAGTTAGGAAAAGCCCCTCGCTGTGCCCACCACACCCACATGTAACAGAAGGCTGGTACTGAAACCTTTCACAGTGTGGCAGGAACAGACAGACCTTCCATCTGAAATATCACATTATGGGCGGGTTCCTTGGGGGGTCTCCTGAGAGAGGCCCCCGCCATGCCTGGTCTCCGTGTGCAGGTCCTGACGGGGAGGACGCTGCCCGTCTTCCCCTATGGTCTGTTTTGCCCCTGGACTTGGAAGGGTATCGGCGGGGTCGGTGGGGAGCCAGGGCTGTTACCACTGGAACTCGGGCGGGGGGTACGCTGCCAGCTTCACGGGCAGCTTCACCAGCTCGTCTCCTGCCGTGGCCTCCAGGATGGGTCCTTTGAGCCACTCGACGCTGATGAAGGGATTTTCTGCCGGACAGGAGAAGTCACTGTAAATCCAGGACTGACCCGTCGTGGACTGACCAGGGACTCCCCCCACGGCCCCTGCAGCCCCGGCAGCCGGACATCCGCAGACTGGGGCTGGCCATGCCGCCCGGTGCAGGAGCTGGGCAGCTCCTCTGCTCGTGGCCCTCCCTTCCCTCTGGCTGGACTCCTGAGTGCTCAAGGGCACCGTGAGCTCTGGGCCCAGGCCCACAGGGCACAAGGACCCTGGTTTCCCAGGCCATACCATGCACAATGACCTCGGTGCTCTCCCGAAATCGCTGGATGCCGTTGTTGGCCTTGCACACATACGAGCCCAGGTCGTGCTGGCTGACGTTGTGGATGGTCAGGATGCTGGAGAGTTCTGTGTGGGTCTGCTGGGAGCGTCGCTCGGGCACCCACTTACCCCGCTCTGCCTGCCCGCACCCAGGGAAGCCCCGCGTCAGCAGGCGGGCTCCTGCACAGCTACCCCACCGAAGGCACACCTCCCAGCCCAGCCAGCGGTGGCTCCGGAAGCCCTGGACCCAGGCCCTGAGTTTTCTTTGGGTGGAACACTTGCCACTCAGACCGGGGCCCCTGGGGCAGGCCTGGGCCCACACATCCTCCACGCGGAGGCCCAGTGTGTGCTGTACAGTCACAGGGACTCCTGGGGACAGGACAGCCTGGCAGCGCTGCTGACCTCACCTGCTTCCCTGGGTAGTCCCAGTCAAAGGTGACACCTGAGTTAAACTCAGCCCACACGGTGCAGTTCAGGACCAGCTTCTCCCCTACCAGCAGCTCCAGCGACTTCCTGGGCAACAGCTGGATGTCATAGAGCTCGTTGCCTGTTGACACGCACACAGTGACTCCCACGCCCTCACAGGACGACACCCACTGAGGCCAGTGAGGCAGTGACAGCCCCGTTACTGGGAACGGGGCACAGCCCTGTTACCTGTGATGTGCACCAGGAAGGGGTTGGAAAGGAAGTCCTGGTCTCCCCAGGTGGTCTCGCACTGCAGGTACAGGGCATCGTGCAGCAGTGGCGTGGACACGAGCATGCCCCGCCGGTCATCCCACACCACCTCCTGCCCGTCTGGCCACAGCACCGAGCTTTGCTGGAGGGACAAGGCCACCATCATTGCCCAGCTGCCCCTTGCTCCTGGCCAGACAGGCGGCCGCCTTTCCCAGGGGTGGGATGGGAGGGTCGGATGCTGGGGTTGGGGTGGGGCCGTACCGAGCGCAGCGTGACATTGAGGCCGGGGATGGACACCAGACAGGGCACCCACATGGCGTCCTTCCTGTTGACCAAGAGCGTGTCAGGCTTGTTGATGAATGGCTGCTCAAAGTCTATGGAGAGGGAGCAAGCTGTTGGGGAAGGGACGTGGCGGCCAGGCTGGGGGAGGGCTCCACGGGGCTGGGTGGTGCTGGTCCTGAACCAGCCACCCGCTGGAGCAGGTAGGGCCCCGTTCTCTCCTCCTGCCAGCCCAGGGTCCACAGGCTGGGGGCGGTGTGGGCCCCAGCTGCCCGGGACCCTGCTCCAGCCTGGCCCGCCTCCAAGTCTCACCTCTCACGAACACGTAGGAGCTGGCGGCCGTGGTGCCCTCGATGCGTGCCTTGATGTACTTGTAGTAGCAGACGTAGCTGCCTGTGTCGTTGGCATGTACCTCGTGCAGCAGCAACACCTTGCAGTAGGGCCTGGCGTCTGTGCCCTCGCAGTCTCGCACCACCCCCGTGTCCTCGCTGTCCTTGTCTCCGGTGGCTGGCGCCTCCTGAGCTCCTGGCCAAGCCCACTCGAGGGGGTGCTGTCCCCTGGCAGAGGACAGGAGTGGTCAGGTGGGCCCCAGGGCAGCCCATGGGGACTGTCCCTGAGAAGCCTCCCTCAGGCCGAGCCTCACCAGGTTTGTCTTACCCAGAGCATGGAACTGCCCAGGGTTTGGGCGCACACTACAGACCGTGCCCAGGGCAGGGCACTCCCCGACCCCCGGGCCTCTACCAGGCTCCCGGGGCTGGCCTGTGGCCAAGCACAGGCCTTGGATCACAGCTGGGAAGGTGGGGAGGTACCCATCTCTGGGGCCCCAGTGGGTGCTCCCAGGGTGGCTGGGAGTGGATGCAGATGACCTGGGAGGTGGCCTGGGGTCAGTGTGAGGTGTCAGGAGTGGGGTGCAGGGTGATGAGGCCCCATATGAAATGCTGATGGGGTGGGCTGGGCACAGTGGCTCACGCCTGTAATCCCAGCACTTTGGGAGGCTGAGGTGGGTGGGTTACGAGGTCAGGAGATCAAGACCATCCTGCTTAACACGGTGAAACCCCGTCTCTACTACAAATACAAAAAATTAGCCGGGCGTGGTGGCGGGCACCTGTAGTCCCAGCTACTTGGGAGGCTGAGGCAGGAGAATGGCGTGAACCCGGGAGGCAGAGCTTGCAGTGAGCCGAGATCGCACCACTGCACTCCAGCCTGGGTGACAGAGTGAGACTCCATCTCAGAAAAAAAAAAAGAAATGCTGATGGGGGTGTGTGGTTGAGGCTGGGGAGGACCGAAGTCACCCACAGCCTGGGAGACCACACGGCCCCGAGGCCACTCTGCCCTGACTCTGCCCTGGGAGGGGGCTGCCATCTGGGCCCACAGCCACCACCTCCTGCCTTGGGCTTGTGCAGCCTCTCTGGCCTGCCAGTGGGAGAGGGACCCAGTACCTGCAGGAGATGGACAGGCTGTCACCGGTGTCGATGACGTGTGACTCCTCCGTGATGTTCAAGGTCGGGGGGGTCATGGAGTAGCCACTCACCAGGCCTGGGGTGGGAGACAGGGTCAGCGTGGTGCTGGGCTGTGACTTGGCACGACGTTGATGGGGCATGGCTGGGCATTCTGCATCGCAAGCGCAGACCCCTGCAGGGCCGGAGCAGCTCAGGTTCTCAGCCAGCACCGCGTGGCCTGGCCTCACCATGTGCGCCGTGAGCAGCACCAGCTCCCAGGCGCCAAGACAGCCACGAACCTCTCCCACAGGCGCACCCTGCCTTGCCCCACAGCCCCCATCCTCAGCTACACACCGGCCCTGGACCTAACCCCAACCTCTGACCCCGGTGAGCTGAGCGGCTGGCATGAAGGAGCGGGGGAGGGGCGCTGGAGTGTGTCACCTCCACATCACGGCCCCTGCAGTGCTGCTGCCTGAGGCCCTCCCTCCTGAACTGCAGCCCTACACCCGCTGCTTCCCAGAGGGTCCGCACATCCCAGGTCCTCCCCGAACCACGCAGGCCTCGCCCCCTCCTGCCTGCTCTCTGCCAGGGGCCTCGCCCCCTCCTGCCTGCTCTCTGCCAGGGGCCTCGCCCCTTCCCAGGCCACGTGGTGTCACCTCACAGGTGTCCTTTCGCTCCTCAGCTTCTCGCACCCTCACAGACCCTGCTGGCTGCCCCAGCCTCCTCCGGGCTCTCCCTGCCCAGGCCTCCCTAGACACCCCCAGGTCTTCTCACAGGGCTCTTCCTCAGACATACAAATAAACCCGCCTCATCTGGCTGAAACCCACCATCAGCCAGAGACTGTAGGCTGGCCGGGCTGGGCCTTCTGTCCTGCAGGACTCAGCCCTGCTGCCCCCACACCCTCCTCCCCGTGAGGTGGTGTGTGTGTGTGTGTGTGTGTGTGTGTGTGTGTGTGCACACGCGTGCCTCCATGTGCATCTGTAACTGTAGGCCTGGGTGTGTGAGTCTGTGTGTGCCTATGTCTGAGTGGTGTGTGTGGCTTCCTGCGTATGTGCAAACATGCATGCATGTTTGTGTATCTCGGACATGCTGGCGTGTGTTCACACATGAGTGTGTATGTGGTGGGATCCCGGTGTGGGTGGGAGCAGGCCCCAGGGGAGGTCTGGGTCTGGAACTCTGGCAGATGCATCCTGCCGGGGCCATCCTGAGACAACAGGAAGGGAGGGCTGCATGGCCAGAGGCCCAGGGCTGCGTCCTGTCCCTCCCCCAGGTCCCTGTCCTCCTGGGGGCACAGCCCACTCTTCTGCCCCCAGGCCCCTCCCGTCCAACACGTCCCTTGGGGTTTGAGGCAGCAGTAGTCTAGCTCCCTGAGGCCCCAGGGTCCCGCCCTGAAGCTAACGGGGGTGGGGTGGAGCCCAGGGAATCCTTGACCCCAAGCCACCCTGGGACGCAGCACCAGGACGGCACCTGCTGCACACCAAGATCTCATTTCGGCCTCACACGGGCAATGTGGTCACCGGTCAATGATCTCTGGCCTCTCCCTTCTTCTATCCCTCTCTCCTGGCCAAACCCTTCCAGGCACCACTTCACTACGGGTCCAGAGCAGGAAGGGCCTTAAACCACACATCCAGACCCACTGTACAGACTGGGACACTGAGGCCCTCCAGCCACCCTCAGAAGGCAGCGCCTCGCCTGTCTGCTGCTGTGACTACCACCGAGTCTTTGCTTTGCCAGCCCTCCCTTGGGGCCCCGAGGTGGAAGGGGGTTGTGGGCTCTGCAGCCCCTTCCCCTTGGGGGTGCCAAGCCCTCACATGCACCACAGCGGGGCCTGGGCACTGGCAGCCCGTAGCTTGCACCCCTGGGGCTGCCATGAGAGGAGTCTGGGCCAGGGGCTGGGGGATCCCTGCAGTGAGGTGGCTCCCCTCAGGTGGTGAGGGGCTAAGAAGGAATCCCTCTGAGCTGGGCTTTGAAGGAGGGGGATTTTTTTTCCAGGTAGTGGAAAGTAAGTCCATGCCAGGAAGACAGCTGGGCATGTATGTGGGCACCGGAGTGGGTGGTGGTCTGTCCTCAGAGCTACAGAGGAGGGATGATGAGCATGGGGCTAGACCCGTCCGGATGAATAGACTCTACCTTCCCAGTGGACCTAGCGGGAGGTCAGGAGACCAGGCTCGAGGCCAGTGTCCACCTGCCCAGCCCCATGACTGCAGGAGAGAGAACATCCCGCCACCCCTACTGAGGTCTGGAGTGTTGAGCTGGTGGCCCCCTTCTCAGGAGTGCACATCCAGCAGACACCTTCCAGCTCCACCGTGCGGCAGCTGTCAGCCCAGCTTCCTCTGATGGCTCCCCTCTGTTCCCAAGATAAAGCAAGGTGGGCTGGGCCTCTGCCCTCCAGCCACTGCCTCTCTCCAGCTTCCTCTCCTAGGAGGCATGGACCTCCTCCTCCCATCCTCCCAAAGTGCCTGTTGTTTTCCTGTCTTGAACACTTGTCCTTTTTCCTGGGACATCCCTCCTTCCTTCTTTCCCTCCCGAGGGCCTCCCTCTTTAGGGTCTAGTTCAGACGCCCTCATCACTCAGGCAGCATCAGCCTCCTCCTCTTCGAGCTTCTGCTAGAACACAACCAGACTGAACTGTGGTTTTATGATCACATCTGAACAGAGGCTCAATTTTATTCATCTTCCTAAGCCCAAGACAGAGATGTGCAAAGGAGATTCAACGGGTGGATATAAGAAAGGATGGATGGGCCAGGCGTGGTGGCTCACGCCTGTCATCCCAGCACTTTGGGAGGCTGAGGCGGGTGGGTCACAAGGTCAGGAGATTGAGACCATCCTGGCTAACACGGTGAAATCCCGTCTCTACTAAAAATACAAAAAATTAGCTGGGCATGGTGGCGGGCGCCCAGCTAACTTGGGAGGCTGAGGCGGGAGAATGGCGTGAAGCCGGGAGGCGGAGCTTGCAGTGAGTGGAGATCGCACCACTGCACTCCAGCCTGGGCGACAGAGCAAGACTCCGTCTCAAAAAAAAAAAAAAAAAAAAGAATGGTCAGATGGATGATGGATGGAAACGGGATGGATGAATGATGAATCGCCAGATGAATAAATGGACGGATGAGTGGACAGACAGATGGGTGGATGGGTGGGTGGGTGGGTGGGAGGATGGATGCATGGATGGATGGAAGTATGGGTGGATGGGTGGGTGGGTGGGTGGATGGATGCATGGATGGATGGAAGTATGGGTGGATGGGTGGGTGGGTGGGTGGATGGATGCATGGAGGGAAGTATGGGTGGATGGGTGGGTGGGTGGGTGGCTGAGAGGATGGATGCATGGATGGACGGAAGTATGGGTGGATGGGTGGATGGGTGGGTGGGTGGGTGGATGGATGGATGGAAGTATGGGTGGGAGGGTGGGTGGATGGATGGATGGATGGAAGTATGGGTGGAGGGGTGGGTGGATGGATGCATGGATGGATGGAAGGGTGGGTGGATGGATGGATGGAAGTATGGGTGGATGGGTGGGTGGGTGGATGGATGGATGGAAGTATGGGTGGATGGGTGGGTGGGTGGATGGATGGATGGAAGTATGGGTGGATGGGTGGGTGGGTGGATGGATGGATGGAAGTATGGGTGGATGGGTGGATGGATGCATGGATGGATGGAAGTATGGGTGGATGGGAGGGTGGGTGGATGGATGGATGGATGGAAGTATGGGTGGATGGGAGGGTGGGTGGATGGATGGATGGATGGAAGTATGGGTGGATGGGAGGGTGGGTGGATGGATGGATGGAAGTATGGGTGGATGGGTGGGTGGGTGGTGGGATGGAAGTGTGGGTGGATGGGAGGGTGATGGATGGATGGATGGATGGATGGATGGATGGATGGATGGATGGATGGATGGATGGATGGATGGATGGATGGATGGATGGATGGATGGATGGATGGATGGATGGATGGATGGATGGATGGATGGATGGATGGATGGATGGATGGATGGATGGATGGATGGATGGATGTATGGATGGATGGATGGATGGATGGGTGGATGGATGGATGGATGGATGGATGGATGGATGGATGGGTGGATGGATGGATGGGTGGGTGGGTGGGTGGATGGATGGATGCATGGATGGAAGTATGGGTGGATGGGTGGGTGGGTGGGTGGATGGATGCATGGATGGAAGTATGGGTGGATGGGTGGGTGGATGGATGGATGGGAGTATGGGTGGATGGGTGGGTGGGTGGGTGGATGGATGGATGGACGGATGGAAGTATGGGTGGATGGGTGGGTGGGTGGATGGATGAATGGGTGGGTGGAAGGATGAATGGATGGATGGGTGGAAGAGTGGGTGGACAGGTGAAAGGTAAGTGGATGGGTGAAGGGTGGATGGGGAGAGGAGTCTGTAGGAGCTTCCTCCTGAAGGCACCGTGCCACCAAAGGAAGCACCTGCATCACTGCTGAGCAGGACCATCCATCGCGCTTGCCAACCCTTTTGCCCATCCACGCAAGCTTTTTCATGACATGTCTCCTTTTTCATGACATACCATAACTTATTCCAGTGACCCCTCTGCCTTTACCAACCTTCCACTGTGCCCTGTGTGATCGGCAAACTTTGCTGTAGACCTCACTGTCCACTCCGAATGTCCCTTCCTGCCTTATGTGAAGCCTGGCTTTCTGGCCACGGCACTGGCCCTGGGCGGTTACTGCCCTCCACCCCACATGCCTGAACTCCTCGCAGCCACCTGCCCTCCCTACAGCAGTCCCTCTGAGGGTCCTGCTCTTTGGCGGCACCGCCCTCTTCCCCATTAAAGCTGTCATCAGCTGCACCCCCCCGTCACTTCCCCTCATTCTCTGCTGACCGTAGCTCCTGGCTCACCATCCCCCCCACCCCAGCTCCTGCCCTTCTCCATGACTTCACCATCCACAGGGCTGACTCACCAGCACCCTGGCCTCTGAGATCCCCCCTGCACGGCCCTCACATCTTCTCCTCCTGAATCACTCAGTTCTGTGGGCGCATCCTGGACCTGGTCATCACCAGAGACCGCGCCATCCCGGAACACCTGTCTTCTACGTCTCTCTCCCTGCTTCCCCTGTTCTTGATCCACATCCTTCAGCCTCATCAAAGCCCCCACTGCTTCCTCCCCACCCCTTGGTGCCCTCCCGGTGCTGCCCCGTCCTGGTGCGTGGGGTCCGCAGCCGCCTCTCTGCATGCTCCCTCCCCTCTTGTCCTGCATCCCAACCCTGAGACAGCATGCATTCCAAACAGCACAACACTGGCAGCACAAGGCCCCCACAGGAGCTCCTCCCCCCCATTTTCCTGGGTGCACACAGTTCAGGGTGCTCCTCCCCTCTCACTCTCAGCATCGACAGGGCGAAATCATGAGACAGAAACACCCCACTGGCTGGGCACAGTGGCTCATGCCTGTAATCCCAGCACTTTGGGAGGCTGAGGCGGGCGGACCATCCTGGCCAACATGGTGAACCCCATCTCTACTAAAAATACAAAAGTTAGCCGGGCACGGTGGTGGGTGCCTGTAGTCCCAGCTACTCGGGAGGCTGAGGCAGGAGAATCGCTTGAACCTGGGAGGCAGAGGTTGCAGTGAGCTGAGATCGTGCCACTACACTCCAGCCTGGGACAGAGCGAGACTCCGTCTCAGGAAAAAAAAAAAAAAAAGAAAAGAAAAAAGAAAAACTCCCCATCTTCCTACATCCCAAAACCCACACTGCCAGCCAGGGCCTCAGAAATCCTCTGACATGCCTCCTGCCTGCAAACCAGGCCCTCCATCGTGCCCAGGGTCCCCCCACCACGGATTTCTCTTCTAATCACCAGTCTTTGCTATGCAATCATCTCCCATCGTTTTTGTTTGTTTGTTTGTTTTGAGATGGAGTTTAGCTCGTCGCCCAGGCTGCAGTGCAGTGGCGTGATCTCGGCTCACTGCAACGTCCACCTTCCGGGTTCAAGTGATTCTCCTGCCTCAACCTCCTGGGTAGCTGGGATTACAGGCATGCGCCATCACGCCCAGCTAATTTTGTATCTTTAGTAGACGGGGCTTCTCCATGTTGGTCAGGCTAGTCTCGAACTCCTGACCTCAGGTGATCCACCTGCCTCGGCCTCTCAAAGTGCTGGGATTACAGGTGTGGGCCACCATGCCTGGCCCATCTCCCATCTTAAAAACAAAACAAAATAATTACTTGGTTCCACACTCTCTTCCAGCCACTGCCCCTTTTCCTATCCCCCTTCATGGCCACAGCTGTTCACTGTCCCCTCTGCTAGTCTCCCCTCATCCACCAATGGAGTGCAGCTCCTTCACTTCACAGAGCCACTGGGCGGGGCTCTTATGACCTCCAGGCTGCAGACCTAGTGGGCACACAGGATAGGGAGCCGCGCATGCTCTCCCCTGGGCAGCATCTGTGACCTACCTCTCCCCAGCTCCCCTCTGCCCAACACACAGTGCTGGCCACCGCCGTCTCTCTGGAGTCCAGACACCTCCCAGGTCTCTAGCTCCAGCCAGGACTACTGTTTGCAACTTCAGTTTTAAGCATCCAGCTGCCCACTGGACTTGGGACACCCCACAGACAACCCGCAGTCTACGTTTCCGATGCTAAACTGCAGACGTGCACCCCCTCCAGCCCCACCAAAGGCTCCTCCCTCGATAGCTCCCTCTCCCCAGATCCTCTCCCAGCCCATCCGTTGGCCAGACCACTGAAGCCTGTCAGGCTGGATGCACCTTAGGGCCCGCCCCTGCTCTCTCACTGGGGCCAGCACAGCTGCACGCACCCCAAAGTGGCTTCTGGGGCCCGCTCTTGTCGTCCTCCAGGCCTGCCTCTGGGCCCCGCTCCCTGCAGTGAGTGACACTTTAAAAAGCACAGGCCTGATCACACTTGTGCTTCAATCTCGCCGGTGCACTGGATTCCCCTGCACTCCCAAGAAAATCCAAACTCCTGGTCCCTGTCCCTGTCTCCACACCCTCGTGGTTCATCCCCTTCACATTCACGTCCTCCAGCCACTGTTGCCTCCAGATTGTTCTGTGCCCCCAGGCTGACTTCTCACGCTAAGGACTCAGCTTAGACACGGCCTCCTCACCCCTACAAAATGGCTCCATCCTAGCCTCCTGGCTGCTTACGGCATCTTTCCTGTCCCAACTTGGAATTATTTATTTATGTGTTTGTTTGTTTAAGTTATATCTGTCCATGTCCTCCAATAGGCAGTAAGTTTCAATGGGGTAAGGACCAAGACAGCTCTTTCTTACCCCACCCCATGCTTCCCACAGCACCTGGCACAGAGTAAAGTCTCAGTGAACACTCGTTGAATGAAAAAAATGGAGGGATGGAAGAAGTATGGATGGATGGGTGGGTGGGTGGGTAGGTGGGTAGATGGGTGCAAGGGTAGATGGATGGATGGGTAGGTAGGTGGATAGGTGGACGCATGGATGGATGGATGAATGGATGGATGGATGCATGGGTGGGTGGAGGAGTGGATGGGTGGGTGAGTAGAAGGATGGATGGGTGGATGGATGGACAGACAGATGAATGGATGGATGGACAGGTAGATGAGTGGATGGGTGGACGGATGGATGGATGGATGAATGGATGGATGGATGCATGGGTGGGTGGAGGAGTGGATGGGTGGGTGAGTAGAAGGATGGATGGGTGGATGGATGGACAGACAGATGAATGGATGGATGGACAGGTAGATGAGTGGATGGGTGGATGGATGGATGGATGGACGGATGGATGAGTGGATAAAAAGATGGATCAACAGATGGAAGGATGCATGGATGGGTAGATTGAACAGAAGGATGGATGGACGGGCAGATGGAAGGATGAACGAATGGCTGGATGGAAGGATGAATGGATGGTGGAAAGGTGGGCATATGGGTGAAGCATGGATGGGTGGATGGTTAGATGGTTGGATGGATGGAAAGTAGATGGATGGATGGCTCAACAGACCTCTGAAACCTCAGAGACTCTTGTCAGACCCTGTTGTTCCACTGGAAAAGATGCTTCCTGTTTTATAGGATGGGCTCCCTGGGCAGATTCAGGCCTGCAGCCTGCCACGTCCAGAGGCTCTGTGACTGCCCAGCCCCCACCTGCAGCCCTGAAGAAGGCGCATCCTTCCTGCCTGGCTGTTGTCTGTCTCTGCTGTCCTTCCCTTCCCGCAGCAGGAAGCACTGTCATCCTGGCCTCTGCTGCGCTCCCCCTGCCTTCCTGTTCCTGGCCCGGGAACTGGCTTCTTCCTTCCCTGAGGCCCCGCAAAGCCCTGGCTCCCAAGCCTGCAGCAGCGTGGTTGGGGCAGGCACCGGGTGGAGGTCAGAAAGGCCAGAATGCATACCTCCTCTTCTCTGTACTGTCAGCAGCCCCAGGACACCCTCCGTCCTCGGGCCACGGGGCCTTGGCGTCAGCCACAGGCGTGGCGGGCGTGGGAGCAGCACAGGAGGGTCCTGCACCTCCCCTGGGCAGTGCTGGCACCCCTCCATGAGGGCCAGGCAGGGTGGGGGAACGTCCCATGGGTTAGGCACTAGCAGCGAGCGAGGTGGGGGGCAGCCGGCCGGCTGCGACTGCCTCATTTGATCCTCACAGCAGCCTGGGAGGGAGGGCTCAACAGCCAGGTCAGCGAGTGAGGAAACTGAGGCGCCAGGCCTCACAGCAGCAGGTGGCCACGTGGGAGCCCAGTCTGGCTGAGTCCAGGTCGGTCCCTGCCCCAGGACCAGGCTCCCCTCCAAAGGCCGGGGGCAGAGGCTCAGGCCAGACCCCAGCCCGGCCTTCCTCCTAGCCCCTAGCATGAAGCCTCAGAGACCCCTGCAGGCAGGAAGGCCCACGTAGGAGGCACATGGCTGCCTGGGCCCTGTGCCCCAGTGGCCTCCACCACACCCCTCCTTGGGGCCTGGCCTCCATCTGGCTTCATGCCCTAGTTGGCTGAGGGCAAAGCCCTTTAAGCTAATGATGCCGTTTTTTTCAAAAGCTTCTTTCCTGAAAACGGAGGGAAAACCCAGCCCAGCCCAGTGAGAGCTGCTGGGAGAGCCAGCCTTGCTTTCCTCCCATGATGTGGGAGTCGGCCCCTCCCTCGGCTCCACACCTGCGTGTCCTGCGTCCCTTGTTCTGTACAGAACCCATATTTTCTCATCAAATCCTCTCTGGGCCCACCAGGATGGGACTGAGATGGGCTGGCTGTGCCATACCCTGGTGGGACAGGGTCCCGGCCCTCTCTACGGGGCAGTGTGGGTGAGCGCTGGCCTTAGCTGGTTTCTGGGAGCTGCTCTCCGAATGATGGCTGAGTCCACAGGGCATGGCTGGGTCCAGGTCCTGGTGCAGAGGTGAAGGGGCCGGCATGAGAGATTGAGGGTAGAACTAGCTGCATCCTCGCAGCCCTGCCCTCGCCTTGCCATCTCTCTCAACCATCACCCTGAGCACCAGCCTCCCAGGCCCCTGCTCTCCAGCAGGCTCCTCCCTGCCCGGTTGGGCTGTGTCCTCTGTCCTCCCTCGTCCTCTGTGCCCGGCAAACTGCTGCCCCCAGCTGAGCATGTCATCCCCACTCTGGCCTTGACCCACAGCACGTGGAGGGTCCGAGTCATCAAGCGGCTCCTGGGCCGGGGTGTCATCAGCCCATGGCTCTGTCCCCAGGCCCAACACAGCCGGCACAGGGATGGCACTGGGATTATCCATCAGCTTGGGGCCCCTCCACATTGGCAGAGAGCATGGCCCTGCGGTGGCCACCCTGGGCCTGGCCCTACTTCTCCCTCTCCCTGGGGTGCTTGGGAAGACGGGGACTGTGTGGCAGGCCTGCCAGCTGGACACACACTTTCTGGGCAGCTGAGCCCAGGAGGACAAAGGCAGCCAGAAGCCAGGCTGCAGACTGGAGGGAGCTGGCGGGGAGCAACGGAGCTGCTGGCTGAGCTGGGGTTGGGCAGAGGGGGTCACCTGCACCCTCTCTTCACTCCTGGGGCCAGGCCTCTGCAGGGACCTGGGGGGAGGCAGCAGGAGCGTCCTGTCTGGTGGCCCCTGCTAACCTGGCCAGCAGCCCCTGTGCCTTCAGAGCTTAAGGGGCTGTCGGTCCTCACTGCACATCCTGCAGGTCTGAGAGAGCTGAGCCCGCATGCCCGGCTGGGCACCCCGCACTGCCGCTCTTTGCTGTATGGTCTTGGGCAAATCACTTCCTCTCTCCAAGCCCCAGTCTTCCCACTTGTGAGATGTGGATTGGCCCTAGGATGACTGGGAACTACAGACCACAAACAACATGGTTAAGAATAAACTGTCGGCTGGGCACAGTGGCTCACGCCTGTAATCACAGCACTTTGGGAGGCCAAGGTGGGCGGATCAGGAGGTCAAGAGATTGAGACCATCCTGGCCAACATGGTGAAACCCCATCTCTACTAAAAATACAAAAATTAGCCCAGTGTGGTGGCGGGCGCCTGCAGTCCCAGCTACTCGAGAGGCTGAGGCAGGAGAATGGCGTGAACCTGAGAGGCAGAGCTTGCAGTGGGCCGAGATCGCGCCACTGCACTCCAGCTTGGGCGACAGAGTGAGACTCTGTGTGAAAAAAAAAAAAAAAAGAATAAGCTGTCTCTGGCTCATGCACACGGATCCCTCTGCTCTCACCTGCCTCCTGAATGCTTGGTTTGCTACAGCTGCTGTATCACTGTGACCCTGTGTTGTCGTCAGAGCATGGGGGCCTCGCTGGTGGGAGAGGATTCATGTGAGCTGAAAGGGGCATTGTAGACTGATTAGGAGCTTGCTGGCCCAGGAGGCGGGCACACAGGCCAGAGTGCCGGTGACTTTGGGCCCTCAAGTAGATGGAGCAGATGGAGCATGGTAAAGGTGATGAGGCCGTGGAAGCAGGCCCAGGTCCCCAGCCGGCCTCGGGCCCTGTCCTGCTCGCTGGATGTACTCTCTCTCTCGATGGTGGCACACCGGGGGGCTTCAACCCCACTCTGTGCTCTCACCCTCCCTGACAGCTCTCCTGGGCTCCAGTCCTGGAGGACCCCAGACCTCGAGCCCAGCCCACATCCAACACTGGGTAGGATGACTGGAAGCACGGAGCTCACAACTGTGCACCCGCCAGAGGAGCAAGTACCACAAAGAATGAGAATTCCCAGCGCTGGAGAGAATGTGGAGAAGGAGGCACCCACACAGTAATGATAAACAGCATCCATACACCGATGGCAAATTCTCCAAATTCTCCTTTCCCAAGACCTCCTGCTGCAACAGCAGCAAGCGTGCACCGAGCACTGTCCATGTGAAGCACAGCCCTACGCATGTGTGCATTCCACATGCCTTCACACCCCTGCGGTTGCCTCCGTATTGCCACTGTACAGATAGAAAGCTAGCACACAGAGGTTAACGCATTCCAAAACACATGACCGTTAAGATATTGTCTTGGGAAGACAGGATTAAGGGAAGCTACTATTCATTCTACAGATGTCTGTATAATTTGCATTTCTGCATTTTACAAAATGTAATCATCTCTTCCATCAGCGTGGGAAACCCTGCTCTCCCTCCCACTAGGTTGGCTGTCCAGGTGATGCTCACCCACCAGACATTCCTGACCCCGCTCATCCCCCACAGCCAATCGGTCACCAAGTGCCTCCATTCTGAGCTGAAATGGGCTTTGCAGACTGAGTAGGAGCGGGCCCAAGAGGAGGGCACTGTGGGTGGGGTGGCTGAGAGTGCCAGGCCCCTGCCCCCACCTCTCCTCACCATCCTGACAGCAGCTTGGCGTGGATGCTTTCTGGCCGCAGAACCCCTCCCGGGCATTGCAGGCGTGCTGTCCCTCCACTTTCCCTCCTCCCCTCCCCGCTGCTGGCCAGCCTCAATGGCTCTCCCCCCGGGTGGCAATACCAGTGTCTCCCACTGGCCCAGTCCTTGCTCAGGGGTCAGATGATCTTTCTAGAACACAAGTCCCTCTCCTGCCTAAAACCATCCCCTGCCCCTTTGCTGCTTATGGACAGAATCTGGTGCCTCCTTGGCCTCCTTGCCACCCACCCGGTGCGGCTCCAGACCTCCACGTGCCCTAGATCTGGAACAGCCCCTCCCCACCTCTGACGTCTGAGCTGCTGTGCTGCTTCCCCAGCGTCTCACACCGAGGCTCCCCACCCAGGACTCCTGCACTTTTCCATAGCTCTGTGGAGCGGCCGGCTCATTACCACTTTTAACAGGTTTTTTTTTTTTTTGAAGTGGAGTCTCGCCCTGTTGCCCAGGCTGTAGTGCAGTGGCACGGTCTCGGCTCACCGTAACCTCCGCCTCCCAGTTTCAAACAGTTCTCCTGCCTCAGCCTCCCGAGTAGTTGGGATTACAGACGCCTGCCACCGCACGCAGCTAATTTTTGTATTTTTAGTAGAGATGGGGTTTCACCGTGTTGGCCAGGCTCTCAAACTCTTAACCTTGTGATCCGCCCGCCTTGGCCTCCCGAAGTGCTGGGATTACAGGCGTGAGCCACCATGACCCGCTCTTAACGGTTCTTTAGTTCAAGACAAGGGCTTCTGTGTGTCTTTTCGTCGTGGCATATTCCCAGGATTGGACTTAGCCAGCAATTTACCCATGGCTGGTTTTGAGGATCCAAGGGACCAAAAGAAGCCATAGTATGTGTGGGCAGGTGTAGGCGTGAGCGGAAAGAGGGCACAGGGTACCGGGAGGGTGGAGAGGCTGTGCACGGAGGGGCACGCCGGGCGTGTGGTGGACCTGGGGGAAATGTCTGCAACATGCTGCTTTGTAAAGGTCTCTGGGACAGCAAAGTAAAAATGGCCATGAGGTGGTTAGAAATTGAAGAGTCCACCTGGCCAGCCCTCTAGGGCATTCCCTGGGGAATGTGGACAGTGGCCTGTGTGCCTGCCCCTTCTTTCCCGCTTGGCCCCCATGCTATTTGGAACCAGATGTCAGACACCTATTAACCCCCTGAAATGAGCCATCTATTATCTAGAGAGCCGTTTCACCCTTGTGGCCTGAATTTCCTAATCTCCAAAATAAGCATAATAAGGTCTGCGTGACGAGGTTAAAACCTGTACGTGCCCTGCTGTGAAGCAATCTGAGAAACCATTTCACACGGAGGTGTGGCCCACTGCCGGACACGCCACATCTGTGTGCATGTGCCGGTGCACGCTTGCTGCTTAAAACAAATCAATCTCCATTTGGTAGAATTTAGAGTAGCTTCGAGGACAGTGTGTTGAGTTGGGTGATGATGGGGGCTTCCCCTAAACCCACCTGAAAGTCTGAGGCACACTGTGAGCGGGAACGAAGCCATCACCTGCCCCGGAAGGCCCCTTCCGCTTGGAGCAGCACCGTCTGCCCGGAGTTCCCAGCAGTCTCCCAAAGGGCACGTCCAGGGTGGGCGAAAGGCCATGGTGCTGGGGCTGGTGTGTGCAGTGGGTGGAGGCTGGGTGGACGCGGGGCTAGGGATGGCCTGGGACTCCAGCAGGAAGGGCCGGTACCACGAGCCCAAGAAGCTGGTGCTTATCTTGTGGGTGAGTTGGGGGGGGCCCTGAAGGCTCATTTACAGCAGTCCCTTTGGGGCAGAATGGAGACAAATTTCTGGAAGATGCTGGAAACAGGGAGTGGTGATGAGGTTGAGAAGGGCTGGACCTGCGGGGAGCGTGGGCTGCCTGAGTGCCCCGTGGGGGTGGAGACCAGGAGGAGGGGGCCTGAGCAGATGCTAAGCTCCCAGCACACGGCCGCCGTGGGGCAGCCAGCTATGCCAGGCAGTTTCCCCGGCTTCCGTGGGGTCAAGGCTCTGCTTGCTGGCCGGCAGGACGAGCGGCGTTATCAGACAACCCAGCTGGCGCAGAGGTGGCCCCCCAGTGCTGCTAAATCGGGGCCACCAGCTCCTGCCGCAGGAAGAGGGAAATGCAGGCAGGATGTCCTCTCCTGTGGCCGACAAGTCCTTTCCCATGAACCCCTGCTGACCTCGCCGGCCACGTGGCGGGCCTCCCCTACTCACCACCTGGATCTACCCAGGCCTGGCCGTGGGCTAGGGTGGTGCGGGCCTCAGACAGGGCCGGGGGTGTGCCTGCTGTTACCCCGTCCAGCCCGGCCAGGGCTGGCGCCCTGCTCCTCCTCCGGGAATGAATGCCCGCATCTTCCTGCTCCCAGACCTGTCTCCTCAGTGTGACCGGAAAACCCAGATTCCAGAGGAAGCCAGTGTCTGAAAAGGATCGAAACTCAGGAATCCCTGGCTCCAGCTGGACACACTGACTGAATCTTGCTCAGAGTCTAGGGGGTGTGAGAGGCTCTCCAGACCCCTCTCCCTGCCCACCCCCAACTCCGAGGGGCATCTCAGAGGGACGTGGGGCACAGGCTAGGCCTTGGTGGAGAGAAAACTGCCCTGTGGAGGAAAATACGGCAGCAGGAGGGGAGTAAGCCAGACACAGAGAAGCACCTCCCCTTGCAGCTGATTCGCTTAATTTCCCTGGTTCCCCCATTCCCCTCTGTCCCATCATACTCAAGTGCTCCCAACTTTCCTCCCTCCTTATCTGGCCGGGTGCATCAGCTGAGGTCTCCGAGGAAATCCCATTGCCTACCTCCACCCAAGGTCCTGCTCCTCTCCCAGGGTCTCCCTTTGATAAATTATCCTTGAAGCCAGAGACCTGGGACTTCCTCTGTCCCCACCATCCCCAGCTGCTACCTGCCTCCACCCCAGTTTATCCCCTGGGTTATCCACTTGCAGTTCCTGTCTCCCCTGGACACCAGCCTCCTTGCTGCTGGCACTGCCGCATCTCCAGCCTCGTTTCCCCTACCTCCCATCCACTCCTCCCAGACTCCAGCCTCACCGGACCACCCACTTGGCCACATTCACCATCTGGACTTGCCTGTCTCTGGGGCTTCATGGGGTTCTTTGCTCTGCTTGGAATTCCCTGTCCTGGAGTTCTGCAGACCCCACCAGGAAGCCCTTAGCTGGAAGTGACACTGCCTTCCTGTGCAGCTTACAGCCACCAGCTGGGCCTCACCAGGGCCCCTGAACACTTTCATCCCTGGGCAATACACGTCTGATGGCATGTCTGTGTCCCTGCAAGGCACAGGAAACCCCTGTGCGATGGGGCCAGGTCCAAGTCCTCCCTGGGCCACCCCGAACAGGCACTATGCTGGGGTCTTGCATAGAACTGCAGGCTCCTTCCCTGGGTCGGGGTGCCACTGCTGGGGGTTACAGTGAAGAATTCGCCAGACAGACCACACATCACACCTCGTACCCTGTCTGGGCCCAGCCATGTGGGCCCTATGCTCTGGGAGGGCTCAGGACTCCTTCAGCCACACTGGCTCTGTGCCATAGGCCTGGTGGATGAGGGAACAGCACCTGCATTCGAGTCCTCAGAGCCCTGAGCTGGAGCAGAAGGTCCCCAGGCCCAAGTAAAGTGGGCCTGATCCCCACATCCTGCCTGCAGTGACTTGCATCCCTGGGCCACACATCTGTCCACATCTGGGCCTTTGTGACCCAGGTCACAGCAAGGGCAAACGTCCTGAGACCAGGCCACTCCAGATGCCCAGCAGACCCTGCTCCTGCATGTCCCTGAGCTGGTAGCCACAGTGCAGAGGTGCCAATGGCCTCTCTCTAGACTAAGCCCCAAGAGACATCTGTGACCTACCCTCTCCACTGGGGCAAGACTGTGGAACTGCAGCAGGCATCTGGGTCTTGGAGTCCAGCCCAAGCACACACAACCCACACAACCTCGGGGCTTGCCAGCTTGTGCCATGGCTATGCTTGTGCCATGGCTATGCTTGTGCCATGGCTATGCTTGGGGAAACTGAGGTGCAGGGAGGGGAAAGGAGGGGGCCCAGGTCACACAGAAAGGACTTTACGGCAGAGGCAGGACAAGAGTCTGGTTCTATGATCAATAGCACACTTTTAAGGGGTCAGCTTCAGGATGCTCAGGCTTCTGGCCTGCTCCCACCGGACCAGCTGCCCTGACACCCGACTGCAGCTCCCACCGGACCAGCTGCCCTGACACCCGACTGCAGCTGAGGGCTTGTGCTTCCGCCATGGCATCCCCCATCAAGCTGGGGGCTCCCGGGGTCTTCAGCCTAGCAGGGGGTACAGCAAGGTGCAGGGCTCACGGAGGGATGACCTCTGTCTTCATTGCCATCTCCCCACCAGCCAAACCCAGGTCCAGCCCAGGACACCCCTCTCCATGGGGCGCCCAACTAATGCCCTCTCTCCTCTTCATAACTGGGTCACTAAGAGTCACTACTTACTGCAGGGAATAGCTTCCTCACCCTTCACCCCACGTCCCTCTGTGCTCCACCCGGGAGCACCAGGACACTGGCCTCTCCTGGTTCTCCTTATACCTGCAGAATGTTCCCTGGATCCCTGGAAGCCCCCTTGCCCTCTGGGCCCCTCCTCCAGGGTTCCCCTCCCGGGTCTCTCTCTTCCTCTCCAGCTACTCAGCCCAGCTCAGACACTGCGCCCAGGTGCCTGTCCCATGTCTCCTCCAGGATAAGCGTCTCCCATTCTACAGCCCTGCAGTCCAACCAAGGTCTACCAGCCACTCGACAAATACATCCTGAGCACCTGTGGGAGCCTGGTCCTGGGCTGGGTCCAGGAGGGCCAAGGGCAGCGCCCTGATCTGGCCTGCCCGACTCGGAGGCCCAGATAGATGTTCTCCTCCCTCCTCCCCTGGTTGAGCCAGACCTGCCCCCTCTCCTGTCCTCTGCCCTTCAGCCAGTGGACATACAGGTGGTGAGCAAAGGCAGGCTTTGTCAGGCTTACTTTGGGCCTCCTGGGGACCTTGGGGAAGTGACACATGTCCTTGGTCTAAGCTTCTCCATGTGTAAAATGGGTCTGACACTCCCTGTGAGAATTACAAGCATGTAAAGCCAGTATTTAATTCCTATGGCGTGCAGAAATGTTGAGGTCCCCGTCGCTGACTTCAGGGCTTCAGACACTGGAACCCCTGACCCCGCCCTTACACCCTTTGATTTCCAGGGACACCAGCTCCGTGGGGACTCCCAGCTCATCTTCTCAGCTTCCTCCCTGACATCTCCATCCACTCCCTCTGCCGCCCGCTCATCCCCCACAGTCCCTCTTTCCAACCCCTCCGCCTCCGCTTCAGGTCTGCGTCTCTCCCCGCCAGAGCCACATCCCAACACAAACCGAACCCCGCCTCTCCTGTGCAGGGGACCCTCCCGCGGGGGCCTCTGCTCCTCAGCTGGCCTTCGAGGCCCCTGTCCCCTCAAATCCGGGGACCCCTGGCCTTCCGCCCCTTCTGCGGCGCTGACAGCCCGCGATTCGCCTCCTCAAGATTCGTCTCAAGTGCCAGCGTGCACCTGCACCCGTCCGCCTCGGGCGCGCGGTGGTCCCCGGCCCCTGTCCCCGCCGTCGCCGGCCACGGGGAGGGGGAAGCCCGCCTCGAGCGCCCTCTGGGGGACCGACCGCGAGCGGAGGCGCTGGGCGTCGGGAAGTGCGCACCCAAGTCCGGGGCCCGGCCGGGATGGATCTCCGGCGCGCGTGGGTCGGGACGGCGCGGCGCGGGGACCCCGCGGGGAAGCGAGTAAGGGCGCGAAGGATCCGGGCTCAGCGCGCAGCCCGGCAGGGCCCGGCTCCGAGGACGCGGAGCCACCGACGGAGACGCGGATTCAGGGGCCGGGAGAGCTACCCCTGCGCCGAGGCGCGGCCCGGCCGCCCTGGCCCTGACCCGGCTGCGGTCCCCGCCCGCCCCTTCCTCATCCCGAGGTCCCGCGCCCCAAGCGCCGTGCTCCCCTCAGGCGTCCGCGCACCAGGGCCACCGTGTCCCCCGCCCGTACCCGGCGGAGCGGTCTCAGCGCCCGCCCCAGGTGCGCGGTACCCCCTCCCCGGCCAGCCCCACGCTCGGGCGGGTGGCCCGTTCGCCGCGCTCACCGTCCAGGAGTCCCAGGCAGAGCCACAGTCGCAGGCACAGCGCGGCGCCCCGCTGCATCTCCGGCCGCTGCGCGTGGGTCCGACCCGAGCGGCCGCGGCTCGGGGCTGAAAGTGTCCGCGCGGGCGCCGGCTGGCCTGGGGCGGGGCGGGGCGGGGCGGGGGCCGGAGGCGGGCCCGGGATTCAGGCCGCTCCCCGCGCCCCCCTCCCCCCGTCCCTCCCAGCCCGCCGCGGGGCGTCCGGTGCACCCGAGCAGTGCGCGCTCCGCACCACAGGGTCCGGGCCCCCTCCTGGGCGGCTCCGGGCGCGGGGACGCGGGTAACGCAGACGGTCTCGCGATGCGCTCCGGAGGTGATGGAGCCTGGTGGGCAAAGGGGAGCAAAATGCGGCACGCGCTCTTTTCCGTCCTTTCTTTCCATCGGTAAAATCTAGACTAAACAAGAAAGCAATCCTTGTAAAAATAGTATGTTACATCTTTGAAAATAGTGGCACCAGCCGGCGTAACATAGGGAGACCCAGTCTCAAAAATAAACAAGCAAATAAATAAAATAATACGCCGAGCTTGGTTGTGCGCGCCTGTAATCCCAGCTTCTCGGGGGGGCTGAGGCAGGAGAATCGCTTGAACCCGGGAGAAGGAGGTTGCAGTGAGCCGAGATCGCGCCACTGCACTCCAGTCTGGGAGCCAAAAAAAAAAAAAAAAAAGCAAAAACAAAACCCGTTCAGCAGTGTTTACCTGCACAGTGTCGACGGACAGTGTCGACGGAAGCCGCACCCGTGAGCGGGACACCCGGGATGACCGACCCCCTCCCTGCAGGCCTGGCCTCCTAGCTTTAGAACTCCCCCAGATGTTTTGTTCTCAGCTCAATCAGGACCCGCCCCCACCTTTTTAATAAAGCGACACTTTGCTTTTGCTTTCTGACTTGGCAACCCTCTTACAGACTTCCGTTCTCTTTTCAGTTTGTCTCTAGAATTTTCCTGTTTAATAATGAAGCCCATGACCATGACTGTCTCAACCTCCTTCCCTGCTTTTCGTTTCATTCACATTTTCCATCCCCCCACCCCCGCCCCCCAAAGCCCTTTCATCCTCGCCAAAAAGCAAGAGTAGATTTTCAATAACCACTACCAGCTCTCTCCAATCCAGGTAAGAAGTGGCTATATTATTAAGCTGGAATCACAAATCAGTGCGGATAGTGTAGATAATTTAACAAATAAGGTTGGGGAAACTAGGTAACCAAGCGATACATGAAGTTAGGTATTTATCAATCATATATTGATTTTTTTTAGCTTTGAAAGATTATGAGATGTAACACACTTATGGAAAGTACATAATATATCAGCATATTATAAACCTGAATTTTAAAGCAACAAATACCTGTGTTTCCATTCTCCAGGCCAAGGGATGTAGAATGACATCCCCACATCCCCTCACTTCCCATCACAAACCCCTCACCAACCCCAGAAGATGCCCACTACCCTGGCATTATCATTTCCCTGCTTTTGTTTATCATTTTATCATCAAAATATATGTTTTGCTTTTTTTTTCAGAATGTACTTTTTTTTTTTTTTCTCAAAGTCTCTCTTTTGTTGCCCAGGCTGGAGTGCAGTGGGACGATCTCACTGCACTGCAATGCAACCTCTGCCTCCTGGGGTCAAGCAATTCTCCCGCCTCAGCCTCCTGAGTAGCTGTGATTCCAGGCACCCGGCACCATGCCCGGCTAATTTTTGTATTTTTAGTAGAGATGGGGGTTTAACCATGTTGACCAGGCTGGTCTCAAACTCCTGACTTCCTGATCTGCCAACCTCAGCCTCCCAAAGTGCTGGGATTATAGGCATGAGCCACTGTGCCCCGCCCAGAATATACTTGTTTTTTTTTTGTTGTTGTTGTTGTTTTAGACAGGGTCTCACTTTGTCACCCAGGCTGGAGTGCAGTGACATGATATCTGCTCACCGCAGCCTCAGCACCCCCCGGGCTCAAATGATCCTCCCACCTCAGCCTCCCAAGTAGCTGGGACCACAGATGTGCGCCACCACACCCAGTGACTTTTTTGCATAGCTGGGTTTTCGCCACGTTGCCCAAGCTGGTCTTGAACTCCTGGGCTCAAGTGATCCACCTGCCTCAGCCTCCCAGAATGCTGGGATGACAGGGATGAGCCGCCGCATCCAGCCAGAATGTGCTTTTAAAATTTTAAAGTATACTTAGAGGACATAAGTGCAGATTTCTTAATTCATATATTGTGTACAGGTGAAGTCTGGGCTTTTAGTGTACGCGTCACCTGTACAGTGGACACTCTACCCAAAAGGTGATTTTTCAGTCCTTACCTCTTGCCCTCCCTCCCTGCTTTTGGAGTCTCCAGTGTCTATTACTCCTCTCTGTGTGTTTGTGTCCCTACAGTTTAGCTCACATTTTGCTTGTTGTTTTTTTTTTCCACTTTATCTCAGTGCCTTCATACCATTTATATTCTTTTGCTCAACACCATTAGTGAGATTCATCTATATTGCTGTGATGATCTATACTTTGCTCATTTTCGTAACTGCATAGTTTTCCACAGTAGGATACACCACAATTTGTCCATCTACTATTAATGGAAGTTTGAGTGGTTACCAGTTTCCAACTTTTGCCACAACACTCTTGTATGTGTTTCCTGGTGTACACATGCTGTCTTCAACTTTGGTAGCCAGTGCCAAGTATTTTTTCAAGTGATTTGTACCATTTTGCATGATCATGGCAGCGTAAGCAGTTACCGCTGCCGCACACCTTTACCCACAGTATTGTCAGTTTTGGTTTTTAAAATGTGGCCATTCTAGTTGGTTTGCATTGGCATCTCATTGCGGTTTCATTAGCTATTTTTTTTTTTTTTTTTTTTTTTTGAGACAGAGCCTTGCTCTGTTCCCAGGCTGGAGTGCAATGGCGCGATCCTGGCTCGCTGCAACTTCCACCTCCCAGGTTCAAGCAATTCTCCTGCCTCAGCCCCTGGAGAAGCTGGGATTACAGGCATACGCCACCATGCCCAGCTAATTTTTGTATTTTTAGTGGAGACGGGATTTCACCATGTTAGCCATGCTGGCCTCAAACTCCTGACCTCGGGTAATCCACCCGCCTCAGTCACCCGAAGTGCTGGGATTAACGGAGGTGAGCCACCATGCCTGATCTATTAGCTTTTCCTTAATTACCATTGCGGTTGAGCACATTTTTATAATTGGCCATTTAGATTTCAAGTCTTTTGCTCTTTACGACTCCCCATCTGTCTTTTTCTTATTGATTTGTAGTTCTTTATATATTCTGCATATGAGTCTTTTATCAGTTCCTTTATTATTGCTGTATAATGAAGTACTCCAAGATGTTGTGGGGCAAAGCAGCAGCTATTTCGTTTTGCTCATGCTTTTGAGAGTCAGGAATTTGACAAGGGCTTACTTAGCTGGGTTGGATGCCTGGTGGTCGGTGCTGGCTGTTGTCCAGAAGCTCAGCTGGGGCTGCCAACCAGTGCGCCCATTCGGTGTCTTTCCAGCATGACAATCCCACATTAGTTGAAGTTCTTGTGTAGCAGGTGGCTTCCCCAGAGTGACTATCCAAGAGAACTAGGTGGAAACTAGATAGTCTCGAAGAAGTCACAGCCTGCCTAGGGGACATGTTCCCCACAATTATTAGAGAGAGGCAAGGTCACATGCAGAAGAGCATGTGGGATGGCAGACACTGCCAAGGCCATCTGTGGAAAAGGAACTTGGGTACATTGTGCTACACATCTCCTCTCATTCGGGGTCTGAATTTTCACTTCCGTAATGCTCTCTTTTTGGGAGGCAGGATGAAGACAGAAGATTTTCATTTTAACACAGCACGCTTACAAATTGGTTTCCTTATGGCTGGTGTTACTTGTGTTATCTCATTATTTTATTACTATTATTTTTTGTTTGCGATGGAGCCGTGCTCTGTTGCCCAGGCTGGAGTGCAGTGGCAAGATCTCGGTTCACTGCAACCTCCGCCTCCCGGGTTCAAGCGATTCTCCTGCCTCAGCCTCCCGAGTAGCTGGGACTACATGCGTGTGCCACCATGCCTGGCTAAATTTTGTATTTTTAGTAGAGATGGGGTTTCGTCATGTTGGCCAGGCTGGTCATGAACTCTTGACCTCAGGTGATCCGCCCACCTCGGCCTCCCAAAGTGCTGGGATTACAGGCGTGAGCCACTGCGCCCGGCCTTGTGTTCTTTTAAAGAAACCTTTATCTTGATGTCATGAAGATATTTACTATTTTTTATCACTTATAAATTTTAATGTTTTATTTTCTCTTTCATATTTAGACCTGCGGGCCCTGGAATTGCCTTCTCTGTGTAGCGTAAAGTAGGTGCATGTGTCGAGTTTCTGTCTTTCACCCCGTAAAGATATCTTGCTACTGGCCGGGCGCTGTGGCTCACGCCTGTAATCCCAGCACTCTGGGAGGCCGAGGTGGGCAGATCACGAGGTCAGGAGATCGAGACCATCCTAGCGAACATGGTGAAACCCCGTCTCTACCAAAAAATACAAAAAAGTTAGCTAGGTGTGGTGGCGGAGGCCTGTAGTCCCAGCTACTCGGGAGGCTGAGGCAGGAGGATGGCGTGAACCTGGGAGGCGGAGCTTGCAGTGAGCAGAGATTGCACCACTGCACTCCAGCCTGGGTCACGGAGTGAGAGTCCGTCTCAAAAAAAAAAAAAAAAAAGGTATCTTGCTATCTCATGACCATGATGAGAAGGTCATGCTTTCTACACTTTTCTCTAGCTCCCCCTCAGTCATACATTAACGATCTACACGGAATGGTTCATTTTCTCAGCTTTGTCTATTTTTGTACTGATACTGTCACCAAAACATCACAGGTTCCGTCTAGGTCCGGCCGCCCACCATACAGAAAGCCAATGACAGAGGAGACAAGTATTGTCAAGGAGGAACGTTTTAATCAGGTGCTGTGGCTGACAAATCCATCTCCCTGACCAACTAAAACCAGGGCTTTACATAGCAAGGAAGAAATGAAACAATGTGTAACAAAACAAAAACTAAGGAGGGGCAAGGAAGCAGTCATGATGAATGAACGGTCCAGCATCATTGTCTGGATGTGGAGATCTGGCGATTCTCAGTTCTTTGATACTTTATTTTTTTATTTTTTTAGAGGACTGAAGGTTGTTTCCTGAGGAAGGAACTCAGCTAAAACAAACTTAAGGTTCAAGCTTTAAGACCAGAAGCGTCCATTTCTACATTTATCCAAAAAAACTATCTATGGGACTATTGAGTCGGTTTCAATAGTACCATATCTTCATTATCTTAGTTATATAAAAATCTACATATCTGGAAGCGTAAGTCCTTCCAACCTGTTCCTCAAAAGTGACTTTGGAATTTTTCACAAGTTGAATTTTCATTTAAATTTTAGACTTATTTTTAATCAGCTTCCACACATACATGATATGCTGGGATTTTGATTAGAGTTACAATTAGCCTATGACCAATTTGGGGCAAACCAACTTTCTTTTAATCCATAAACATGGAATATCTCTTCGTTTTTATTTTTAATATATATGATGGTTAATATTGAGTGTCAACTTGATTGGATTGAAGGATGCAAAGTATTGTTCCTGGGCGTGTCTGAGGGTGTTGCCAAAGGAGATGAACATTTGAGTCAGTGGGCTGGGAGAGGCAGACCCACCCTCAGTCTGGGTGAGCACCATCTAATCAACTGCCAGCACGGCTAGAACAAAGCAGGCAGAAGAACGTGGAAGGACTGAAAGAATGTACTTTTTTTTTTGAGACAGAGTTTCGCTCTTGTTGCCCAGGCTGGAGTGCAGTGGCGCGATCTTGGTTCACCGCAACCTCTGCCTCCCGGGTTCAAGTGATTCTCCTGCCTCAGCCTCGTGAGTAGCTGGGATCACAGGCACGCACCACCACACCCGGCTAATTTTGTATTTTTCATAAAGATGGGGTTTCTCCATGTTGGTCAGGCTGGTCTCGAACTCCCGACCTCAGGTGATTCGCCCGCCTTGGCCTCCCAAATTGCTGGGATTACAGGCGTGAGCCACTGCGCCCAGCCTCGTCTGTATTTCTTAAATTAGTCTAGCTAATGGTTTGTCAGTTTCATTTATCTTGTCAAAAGAAAACTTTGTTTCGTTGATCTTTTAAAAAATTGTCTCTATTTTGTTTATTTTTGCTCTGATCTTTATTATGTCTTTCCTTTTTACTAATTTTGGGTCTGGTTTGCTCTTGTTTTTTTGAGGTGTACTTTTAGGTTGTTTATTTGAAATTTTTCTATTTTTTTGATGTAGGAGCTTATTGTTATAAACTTCCCTCTTAGTACTGCTTTTGCGGCAACCTTAGGTTTTGGTGTGTTTCAGTAAAATTTTAAATTACCCTCTTAATTTCTCCTTTGACCATTCAGGAACACGTCTAATTTCCACATATTTGTACAGTTTCCAAAATTCTCTTCTTACTGATTTTCTAGTTTTATTCCAGTGTGGTCAGCAAAGATACTTGATCTGATTTCAATTTGCTAGAATTTGTTGACACTTGTTTTGTGGCCTAAGATATGGTGTATCCTGGAGAATATTCTATGGGCTGATAAGAAGAATGTGTATTCGGTGAAACCCCGTCTCTACTAAAAATACAAAAAAAAAAAAAAAAAAATAGGGCGTGGTGGCAGGCGCCTGTAGTCCCAGCTACTCAGGAGGCTGAGGCAGGAGAATTGCTTGAACCCAGGAGGCAGAGCTTGCACTGAGCTGAGATCGCGCCACTGCACTCCAGTCTGGGCGACAAAGCGAGACTCTGTCTCAAAAAAAAAAAAAAAAAAAAAAAAGAATATGTATTCTGGCCAGAGGCGGTGGCTCATGTCTGTAATCCCAGCACTTTGGGAGGTTGAGGCGGGCGGATCATGAGGTCAGGAGTTCGAGACCAGCCTGGCCAACATGATGAAACCCCGTTTCTACTAAAGATACAAAAAATTAGCTGGGCGTGATGGCATGTGCCTGTAATCCCAGCTACTCAGGAGGCTGAGGCAAGAGAATTGCTTGAACCTGGGAGGCCACTGCACTCCAGCCTGGGCAACAGAGCGAGACTCTGTCTCAAAAAAAAAAAAAAAGTGTATTCTGCAGCTGTTGGATGAAACGTTCTGTAATATCAGTTATGTCCATTTGGTCTAGAGTATAGATTTAACTCCAGTGTTCTTTACTGATTTTCTCTTGGGATCGTCTGCCCACTGCTGGAAGTGGGGTGTTGAAGTCCCCTATTATCATCGGATTGCAGTCTGTTTCTCCCTTTAGATCTATTAATATTTGCTTTCTACATTTGAGTGCTCTGGTATTGGGTACATTTATATTTGTAATTGTGATATCCTTTTTCTGAATGGACTCCTTTGTCATAATATAATGACCTTGCTTGTATCTTTTTACACTTTCTGACTTCAAGTCTATTTTGTCTGATATAAGTATAGCTACTCTTCTTCTCTTTTAGTTTCCATTTGCATAGAATATCTTTTTCTACCCCTTCACTTTCGGTCTACCTGTGTCCTTACAGCTGAGCTGAGGCAGCATAGAATTGAGTCTTGCCTTTTTATTTATTCAGCCCCTCTACGTCTTTGAGATAATTTAATCCATTTATATTTTAGGTCGTTATTGATAGGCCTGTACTTACTCCTGCCATTTTGTTAAATTGTTTTCTAGTTGTTTTGTAGAGCTTCTGTTTTCCTCCTCTGTGGTTTGATGGCTTTGTACTCCGGTATGGTTTGGTTCTTTTCTTTTTATCTTTTGTGCATCTATTACAGGCTTTTGCTTTGTGATTACCCTGAGGCTTACATAAAACATCTTATAACAAGTTAATTTAAGATGGTAATAGCTTAATTTTGATCTCATACAGAAACTCTCCATTTTTACTCTTCCTCCTCCCAGGTTTTATGGTTTTGATGCTGCGCTTAATGTCTTTTAATAAAATGTATCCTTTAGCAATTATTGTAGCTTTATTTATTTATATTATTTTATTTTTGAGACGGAGTCTCACTTTGTGGCCTAGGCTGGGATGCAGCGGTGCAATGTCGGCTCACTGCAACCTCTGCCTCCCGGGTTCAAGCGATTCTCCTGCCTCAGCTTCCTGAGTAGCTGGGATTACAAGCACACACACCACCACACCCGGCTAATTTTTGTATTTTTAGTAGAGACCGGGTTTCGCCATGTTGGTCAGGCTGGTCTCAAACTCCTGACCTCGTGATCCGCCCTCCTCAGCCTTCCAGATTGCTGGGATTACATGCGTGAGCCACCGCTCCAGGCCTATTTATTTATTTATTTTTAGATGGAGTGGCAGATCTTGGCTCACCACAACCTCTGCCTCCCGGGTTCAAGTGATTCTCCTGCCTCAGCCTCCTGAGTAGCTGGGACTAGAGGCGCACATGCCACCAAGCCCCGCCAATTTTTGTATTTTTAGTAGAGACGGGGTTTCACTATGTTGGCCAGCCTGGTCTTGAACTCCTGACCTGGTGATCTGCCCGCCTCGGCCTCCCAAAGTGCTGGGATTACAGGCGTGAGCCACTGCGCCCGGCCTTAGTTATTTTTTAATAGATTTGACATTTGACCTTTCTTTTCTTTTTCACTGACAGGATCTTGCTCTGTCCCCCAGGCTGGAGTGATTAGTGATGTCCAGGATCTTTTTCATATGCTTGTTGGCTGTATGTCTTCTTTTGAAGTGTCTTTTCATGTCCTTTGCCCACTTTTAAATGGGGTTGTTTGTTTTTTGCTTCTTAATTTAAGTTTCTATTTCTTATTTTAAAAATTGTGGTAAAATACTCATAAAATTTACCATCTTAACCGTTTTTAGGTATACAACTCAGCGGCATGAAGTATGATCACATTGTTGTGCCGACGTCACCCCCATCCGTGTCTTCAGAGCTCTTTCCATCTTGCAAAATTGAAACTCTATACCCATTAAAAATAACTCTAGGCCATGTGGAGAGGCGTGTGCTGCGCGCGCCGGACAGCGGGACAGAGGGACAGAGGGACAGCGGGACAGAGGGACAGAGGGACAGAGGGACAGCGGGACAGAGGGACAGAGGGACAGCGGGACAGAGGGACAGAGGGACAGAGGGACAGAGGGACAGCGGGACAGAGGGACAGAGGGACAGCGGGACAGAGGGACAGCGGGACAGAGGGACAGAGGGACAGAGGGACAGAGGGACAGCGGGACAGAGGGACAGCGGGACAGAGGGACAGAGGGACAGCGGGACAGAGGGACAGAGGGACAGCGGGACAGAGGGACAGAGGGACAGAGGGACAGAGGGACAGAGGGACAGCGGGACAGAGGGACAGCGGGACAGAGGGACAGAGGGACAGAGGCCCAGCCCGGGAAGCCGCGCGGCTCCTTCCCCGCGCCCTGCCTGCCGCTCCGCAGGGGGGTGGCCTCGTCCGTGCGCACAGCTCACCTGTCTGTGGTTTTTTCTAGGACTGCCCGCCGCCTCCGTCCTGCACTTGATTCCTCTCGCCTTATTGCTGGACGGTGGTGGAAGGGCAAGAAGCAACCGAGGACGCCTCTGGGTGTTCTGTTTCTGTTTCCTTCTCGCAGCTTGGGAAGTGGAGGGCGTGGGATGGAAAAGAACCGGGACCTCCCTCCTCCTCTCCACCTTCTTATACTAAGGAGCCTGCTCTGCCTGCGGTAAGCCCCTAATTTCCCTTCCTCCTTTCCCTCTATCGCAGTCCTCGCCCACCCCGCGTCCCCGCCGCCACCCCCCACCCCGCGTCCCCGCCGCCACCCCCCACCCCCCAGTCCCCACCTCTCCGCCTCCCCCGCCCGCCGCCTTCCCGCCAAGCCAGGGGAGACAGTGAGCCCCGGCTTGTAAAGAAAAGTAAAATGGGCTGGGCGCGGTGGCTCACAACGTGAGGCCCAGGCGAGAGGATCGCTTGAGCCCAGAAGTTCGAGACCAGCCCGGGGAACATGGCGAAACTCAGTCTCTACAAAAAAATTAGGCAAGCGTGGTGACGCACACCTGTAATCCCAGCTATTAGGGAGGCTGAGGTGGGAGGATCACCTGAACCCGGGGGGCAGAGGTTGCAGTGAGCCGAGAGATCGTGCCACCGCACTCCAGCCTGGGCGACAGAGTGAGACTCTCAAAAACAAACAAACAAAACAATTAGCAGCTCTGCTACACACCAACATTAACCAGCCTGACAATCAAATCAAGACAACCCCTTTTACACTAGCTGCAAAAATAAAACAAAATGCTTAAGAATATACCTAAGCAAGGAGGTGAAAGATCTCTACACAAGGAAAACTGCAAAACACTGCTGAAAGAAATCATTAGACGACACAAATGGAAGCACATCCCATGCTCGTGGATGGGTAGAATGAATATTGTGAAAATAACCATACTGCTAAAAGCAATCTACAAATTCAGTACAACTCCCATCAAAACTCCACCATCATTCCTCACACAACTAGAAAAAAACCCCTAAAATTAATACGGAGCCAAAAAAGAGCCTGCGTAGCCAAAGCGTGTTCTGTTTTTAAAGGTTTATTTTGTAGAGACAGGGTCTTCCTATGTTGCCCAGGATGGTCTTGAACTCCTGGGCTCAAGTGATCCTCCTGCGTTGTCCTCCCAAAGTGCTGGGATTACAGGCATGAACCGCTGTGCCTGGTCATGTTGAACTATCCTTACAATCCAGCAATAAATCTTACGTGGTCATGATGTATAGTCTCTTTAATATGCTGCTGAATTCAGTTTGCCAGTATTTTCTTGAGTTTTTTTTTTTTTTTTTTTTTTGAGACAGAGTATTGCTCTGTCCCCCAGGCTGGAGTGCAGTGGTGCGATCCTGGCTCACTGCAACCTCCCCCTCCCGGGTTCAAGCGATTTTCTTGCCTCAGCCTCCAAAGTAGTTGGGACTACAGGTATGTTCACCACGCCCAGCTAATTTTTGTATTTTTAGTAGAGAGGGGTTTCACCATGCTGGCCAGGCGGGTCTTGAACTCCTGACCTCAAGTGATCCACCCCCCCGGGCCTCCCAAAGTGCTGGGATTATAGGTGTGAGCTGCCGTGCCTGGCCTGTTGAGGATTTTTACATCAATGTTTGTAAGGGATGTTGGTTTGCAGTTTTCTTGAAGTGTCTTTGGCTTTGGTATAGGTCATGCTGGCCTCGTAGAATGTGTTAGGAAGTGTTTCTTCTACTATTTCCTGGGAAAGTTGGAATAGGATTGGTATTAATTCTTCTGTAAATGTTTGGTAGTATTCAGTGGCAAAGCCATCAGGCCTAGAACTTTTCTTTGTTGGGAGATTTTCTATTGCTGTTTCAATTTTCTTACTATAGGTCTGTTCAGATTTTCTATTTCTTCATGGTTTAGTCTTGGTTGATTTTGTGTTTCTAGGAATTTGTCCATTTCATCTGTGTTATCCAATTTGTGGCTGTACAATTACTTATGTTGCTTTTGTATAATCCTTTTTATTTCTGTAAAATTGGTACTAATGGCCTCACTTTCATTTCTGATTTTAGTAATTTAATTCTTCTCCCTTTTTTCCTTAGCCCATCCAGCTAAAGTGTGTGATTTTGTTGATAATTTTGAAGAACTAATTTTTGGTTTTGTTGATGTTCTCTGTGATTTTTCTATTCTCTATTTTATTTATCTCATCTTTAATCTTCTGCTAGCTTTGATTTTAGTTTGTCCTTTTCCTGCTTATTTAAATTATCACGTTAAGTTGTTGATTTGAGGTTTAAAAAATCTAAATGTTTATAGCTATAAACTTTCCCTCTTAGCATTGTTTTTGCTCCATCCATAAGTTTTGGTATGTTGTGTTTTGTTTTCCTTTG
The DNA here is from genome assembly GCF_000001405.40 of Homo sapiens. NCBI lineage: Eukaryota > Metazoa > Chordata > Mammalia > Primates > Hominidae > Homo > Homo sapiens. The sequence goes on from NC_000005.10 coordinate 180,661,268, forward strand.
TGTCTAAGTATTTCCTAACTTCCCTTGCAATTTCTTCTTTGATCCATTCATCGTTTAAAAGTGTGTAATTTCCAAAAATTTGTGAATTTTCCAGTTTTCCTTCTGTTATTGATTACTAACTACATCCTGTTCTGGTTGGAGAAGATATTTTGTATGATATCTTTTAAAATATTTTGAGACTTAATTTGTATCCTAACATATGTTGTATCCTGGAAAATGTCCCATGTACCCCTGAGAAGAATGTATATTCTGCTGTGATTGGGTAGATTGCTCTGTATATGCCTGTTAGATCTACTTGGTTTGCTGTGTTTTAAAGTTCTCTATTTCCTTATTTATCTTCTGTCTGGTTGATCTGTTTATTAATGTGAGTAGGGTATTGAATTCTGCAAGTATTATTGTAAACTGTCCACTTCTCCCTTCAGTTCTGCCGACGTTTGCTTCTTCATATATTTTGGGACTCAGTTATTAGGTATATATATTTGTAACTGTTATATATTCCTGATGTACTTACTCTTTTTTTTTTTTTTTTTTTTTTTTTGAGACAGGGTCTGATTCTGTCACCCAGACTGGAGAGCAGTGATGCACTCATGGCTCATTGCAGCCTCGACCTCCCAGGTGCAAGTGATCCTTCGTCCTCAGCACCCCCCAGTAGCTGGGACTACAGGTGTGCACCACGATCTCCAGCTAATTTTTTTTTTTTTTGTATTTTTTGTAGAGACACGGTTTCGCCATGTTGCCCAAGATGGTCTTGAACTCCTGGGCTCAAGTGATTCTCCTGCTTTGGTCTCCCAAATTGTTGAAATTGCAGGCATGAGCTACCATGCCCAGTCACATTTATTGTTATTATTATTATTATTATTCTAATCAACATCTAATGTCCTTTGTTGTCTCTTCTAACAATTTTTGGCTCAAAGTTTATTTTGTTTGATATCACTATAGCCACACGGGCAATCTTTTGGTTACTGTTTCTGTGGAATATCCTGTTCCATCTTTTCACTTTCAAATTTGTATCTTTGGATCTAAAATGAGTGTCTTGTAGACAGCATATAATTGGATCATGTTTTTACCCTTTCAATCTCTTGATTGTAGCATTTAATCTATTTACACTTAATTACTGATAAAGAGGGACTTACTTCTGTCATTTAAAAATTTTGTTTACCAGGAGCAGTGGCTCACACCTGTAATCCCAGCACTTTGGGAGGCTGAGGCAAGTGGATCACATGGTCAGGAGTTCAAGACCAGCCTGACCAACATAGTGAAACTCCGTCTCTACTAAAAATACAAAAAAAATTAGCTGGGCATGGTGTTGGGCGCTTGTAGTCCCAGCTACCTGGGAGGCTGAGGCAAGAGAATCTCTTGAACCTGGGAGGTGGAGGTTGCAGTGAGCCAAGTTTGTGCCACTGCACTCCAGCCTGGGTGACAGAGAGACTCTGTCTCAAAAAAAAAAAAAAAAAAAAATGTAGGCCGGGCACGGTAGCTCATGCCTGTAATCCCAGCACTTTGGGAGGCCGAAGCAAGTGGATCACCTGAGGTCAGAAGTTCAAGACCAGCCTGGTCAACATAGTGAAAACCGTCTCTAGTAAATTTTTCTTCTCAGTCATTGTGCATTTCAGTTCCAGAATTCTGGGGGGCTCTTTTTAGGTTTTCTATTTCCTTATTGACATTTCCATTTTGTTCTTTTTCTTTTTTTGAGACAGAGTCTCGCTCTGTCACCCAGGCTGGAGTGCAGTGGCGCAATCTCGACTCACTGAAAGCTCCGCCTACCAGGTTCACGCCATTCTCCTGCCTCAGCCTCCTGAGTAGCTGGGACTACAGGTGCCCGCCACCACGGCCAGCTAATTTTTTGTATTTTTTTGGTAGAGACGGGATCTTCTGACCTCGTGATCCACCCGCGTTGGCCTCCCAAGGTGCTAGGATTACAAGTGTGAGCCACCGCGCCTGGGCCTCCATTTAGTTCTTACATCTTCTTGACTTTCTCCACAGATTTTTTTTTTTTTTGAGGCAGAATCTCACCCTGTTCCCCAGGCTGGAGTGCAATGGCACGATCTTGGCTCACTGCAACCTCTGCCTCCTAGGTTCAAGCGATTCTCCTGCCTCAGCCTCCTGAGTAGCTGGGACTACAGGCGAGTGTGCCACCACGCCCAGCTAATTTTTGTATTTTTAGTAGAGATGGGGTTTCACCATGTTGGTCAGGCTGGTCTCGAACTCCTGACCTCAGGTGATCCACCCGCCTCAGCCTCCCAAAGTGCTGGGATTACAGGCGTGAGCCACTGCACCCGGCCTCTCCACAGATTCTTTTTGTTCTTTGAAAACACACACACACACACACACACACACACATACACATATATATTTTTTTGAGACAGAGTCTCACTCTGTCACCCAGGCTGGAGTGCAGTGGCCCGGTCTTGGCTCACTGCAACCTCTGCCCTCTGAGTTCAAGCAATTCTCCTGCCTCAGCCTCCTGAGTAGCTGGGATTACAGGTGCCTGCCACCGTGCCCGGCTAATTTTTTGTATTTTTAGTAGAGACGGGGTTTCACCATCTTGGCCAGGCTGATCTTGAACTCATGACCTCATGATCCACCTGCCTTGGCCTCCCAAAGTGCTGGGATTACAGGCATGAGCCACCATGCCTGGCCTCTTTGAACATATTTTAGACAGTTGGTATGAAGTCTTTGTGTAGTGGATCCTCTCCCAGCTCTTTTGCAGGGATGGTTCCTGTTGGTCTATTTTTTATTTTGAATGGGCCATACTTTACTGTTTCTTTGTATACTCTTGTTGGTTTTGTTTTTTTTTTTTTGGTCAAAAACTGGACATTTGAATCTAACACTTTAGTGACTCTGAAAATCAGAATTTCCCCTTTCTCCAGGGTTTGCTGTTTTTTGCTTTTGTATTTGTTTGTGTTTTGCTTTTTTGTTTTTTTGGAATTGTTGTAGACTGTCTTGGAGCTAAGGACCAGCTTGAGGTGTAACCTTAAGGTCTTCTCAGGCCTTTTCTGAAACTACGCCTTCCCCTGGGCATGCTTGGTAGCTTTCTAATTTCCCCTGTATATGCAGTTGCTTTTGAATGTCCTACTTTTTATTGTCTGGCTCCAAGAAGGGGAAATAGAGAGAAATTAAGGGGGAAAAAGTCACCAGTCCTTTAAGTCCCCTGGAAGTCACTTTACCAGCAAGGGAGGGGCTTGTAACAATGGGAGAAGGTGGCCGGGCGCGGTGGCTCAGGCCTGTAATCCCAGCACTTTGGGAGGCCGAGGCCAGCGGATCACGAGGTCAGGAGATCGAGACCATCCTGGCCAACACAGTGAAACCCCGTCTCTACTAAAAATACAAAAAAGTAGCCGGGCGTGGTGGCGGGCGCCTGTAGTCCCGGCGACTCAGGAGGCTGAGGCAGGAGAATGGCGTGAACCCGGGAGGCGGAGGTTGCAGTGAGCCGAGATCGCGCCACCGCACTCCAGCCTGGGCGACAGAGCGAGCCTCCGTCTCAAAAGAAAAAGAAAAAAGGAGAAAGTGCAAAGTGCAATAACAAGGGTTGCTGCCTCTTTGTCTGCACTTCTGTGATCAGATGAAGCAATCAGTGATCAGAACAGAGACTCAATATCTGGAGGACAGGGTCTCTCATACCTACCCTGGCTCCTGTCATCGATCTGTAAGCTGCTCCAGGAACGTGCACAGTTGCCTGCTGTGGGGATGAGAGGTGGGGAACAGGCAGCTGCAACTATGCTAAGAGCTCACTGACCAAAATTAACCACAATGTACCATCCGAGTCTTCCTGGAAGTTGCAGGCCTTCAATGGACTTCAGAGTTCCAAAATAGCTACAACAGACAGATTCTGTGAGTATTATTGTCTAGGTGAGGAGAGAGATTTCTCAGGCTTCCTGCTCCTCCATCTTCCCAGAATTCTCTACTTGGTCATTTTATTTTTAACAAGGCTTCTAAGACCATTCACCACGAGAAGAAATGGCCTCTCCAACAACTGGTGCTGGTACCGCTGGATAGCCATAAGCAATGAAGTTGAAACTTTACCTCACACTATAGACAAAAATTAACTCAAAATGGATCAAAAATTAACTCAAGGCCTAAATGTAAAAATGAAAATATAAACTTCTGAGGAAAGCCAAGTAGTAAATCTTCATTTGGCAATGGAAGCTTAGCTAGGATATTCAAGAAAAGAAAAAACGGATAAGTTAGACATCAAAATTAAGACATTTTTGTGCATCAAAGGACATTATACATTTAAAAAACCATGGAATGAGAGAAAATATTTGCAAATCAAATGTTTGATAAGGAACTTTATCTAGAATCTATACAGAACAGTTACAAGTCAATAATAAAAAGACCACAAATAACCCAATTAAACATGGGCAAAGGATCTTAATAATTTCTCCAAAGAAGATGTGCAAATGGCCAAATCAGCACATGAAAAGATGCCCAGCATCATTATCCACCAAGGAAATGCAAATGTAAGCCACGAGATACCACTTTATTCCAACTAGGATGAGCATAAGCAAAACAATGGAAAATAAACGTTGTTGGCAAAGATGTGGAGAAATCAAAGAGTTCTCATCTACTGCTGGTGGGAGTGGTAAGTGGTATGGTCACTTTAGAAACATTATGGCACTTCCTCAAAATGTTAAACATCAAGTTACCATATGACCCAGCAATTTCCCTCACAGGCATACGTAGATCCAGGAGAAGTGAAATGAAAATGTAGGTCCACACAGAAATGTGTGCACAAATGCTTATAGCAGCATTATTGAGAATAACCCAAAGATGGAAACAATTCACATGTCCGTCAACTAGTGAATGATAAATACCACGTGGCGTATTCACACGGTGGAATATTCTCACATGATAAGAAATGAGGTATAACAGAGGAATCTTGAAAACATCATGCTAATTGAAAGAAGCCAGTCAGGGCCGGGCGCGGCGGCTCTCACCTGTGATCCCAGCACTTTGGGAGGCCGAGGTGGGCGAATCACCTGAGCTCAGAAGTTCCAGACCAACCTGGGCGACGTGATGAAACTCTGTCTCTACGAAAATACAAAAAAAAAGTAGCCAGGCGTGGTGGCGGGCGCCTGTAGTTCCAGCGACTCAGGAGGTTGAGGCAGGAGAATCGCTTGAACCCAGGAGGCGGACCTTGCAGTGAGCTGAGATGGCGCCACTGCACTCCAGCCTGGGCGACACAGCAAGACTCCGTCTCAAAAAAAAAAAAAAAAAAAAAAAGCCAGTCTCAAAAAAACTCACGTATTATACTAGTTCATTTGTATGAAATGTCCAGAGTGGGAAAAGACGTAGAAAGTAGATTACTGGTTGTTTATTGGTTTGGGTGGGGGAGGGATGGAAGCATGAGGGAGTGTTACCTAAAGAGTGTGGGGTTTCTTTCTAGTGGCAGAAACATTCTCCTGATCACAGGGTCAGGAGTTCAGTTGTGCTGATGGCTGCAGCACTCTGTGAATATACTGAAAGGCACATTAAGTATACGGTATGTGAATTATATCTCAATAAAGTTGTTGCCAAGAAATTGACAGCACAGTTTACGCAGGTTAAATAGTTAAGAACTACATAAACACTACAATCAATGCGGCATTTTACCCTGTACAAGACCTCAAGGCTGCTTGTTAAAGTGGTTTTGGAAGGGCTGTAGCTTATGGTTTACCGTGAGGTGGTGGAAGGGAGGTTGTCTGAAACTGGGTGGGGTGGAAGTTTGTCCGGCCAAATGTGCACGGCTGTGGCTCGTCACACACCCAGCTGGAAGTGTGCGCGTGTGCTTTCTGCGCACTTCTACGTTGCTTGAGCAGCTGGACTGGGCATAATGTTCTGCATGCACTTGGTGTGTTTTGCAAATGAAATCGTGTATGAACAAATGCAAAAGTCACATTATGCTCAAATTCCCTCCAATATGTCAGTGCATTGAATAAAATGGCAATATTTATTTATTTAGAGACGGAGTTTTGCTCTTTTCACCCAGGCTGGAGTGCAGTGGCACGATCTCGGCTCACTGCAACCTCGGCCTCCCAAGTTCAAGTGATTCCCCTGCCTCAGGCTCCTGAGTAGCTGGGATTACAGGCTCCTGCCATCATGCCCAGCTAATTTTTGTTTTACGGTTTGTTTTGTTTTGTTTTTTTTTTTTTTGAGACGGAGTCTTGCTCTGTCACCCAGGCTGGAGTGCAATGGTGCAATCTTGGCTCACTGCAACCTCTGCCTTCCAGGTTCAAGTGATTCTCCTACCTCAGCCTCCGAAGTAGCTGGAATTGCAGGTGCCCACCACCACGCCCAGCTAATTTTTCTATTTTTGGTAGAGACAGGGTTTCGCCATGTTGGCCAGGCTGGTCTTGAACTCCTGACCTTAGGTGATCCACCTGCCCTGGCCTCCCTAAGTGCTGGGATTATAGGCATGAGCCACCATGCCTGGCCCTAATATTTAAAACAAGTATTATAGCATAACTGGCTGTAGCTGTATGCTTATATTTAAAATGTCTCTTGGCTTAAGAAAAACAGACTGACAATCTTTGACTTTAGTCCATTTACATTTAATGTAATTACTGATATATTTGGGTTGACATCTACCATATTACTATTTGTTTTCTATTTGTTTCATCATTCTGTGGTTCATTTATTCCTTCTTTCTTACAGTTTAAGGATCCATCAAGTTTTTTATTATTTTATTTTATTTTATTTTTTCTCTTCTATTAATGTGGTAGATGGCAAAGATGGCCACCATGCCTCACTTCTCCTTATATTCATGCACTTTTACAATGTGTGTTTGTAGCTTCTCCTGTTAAGGATGGAAGTCAGGGGCCGGGCGCGGTGGCTCACGCCTGTAATCCCAGCACTTTGGGAGGCCGAGGTGGGTGGATCACAAGGTCAGGAGTTCGAGACCATCCTGCCTAACATGGTGAAACCCCATCTCTACTAAAAATACAAAAAAATTAGCTGGGCGTGGTGGCGGGTGCCTGTAATCCCAGCTACACGGGAGGCTGAGGCAGAAGAATTGTGTGAACCCAGTAGGTGGAGGCTGCAGTGAGCTGAGATCGCACCACTACACTCCAGCCTGGGTGAGAGAGAGACTCTATCTCAAAAAAAAAAAAAGAAAAAAAAAGGAATTGAAGTCAATTTCTCCTCCCTTTGAAAAAGAAACGGCCTCTTAGCCATGTTAATTTAATTCAGCAAAAGTGACGATGTGAAGACCTTGTCCCTTTACAATCTTACGACATTGCCACTGCCATATGTAGCATGCCCAGGTTAGCCTGCTGGAGGGTGGGAAAGAGAAGGGGGATCACAAAGGATGAATGACTCAACTGTGAATTTCAGATTAAATGTTCTGAAATGCAGAGCAGAGCAAACATCCTGAAAACTGGAAGACTTTTGATTTGCAAGTGCTTGGTGGTAGACAAAGAAATACTTTTGCTTTGAACTCCGAAAAAGTCAAGCTTGGAGGACTCAGACCACAGAGTTTACAAAATGAAGGCATGAAGTGGGAAAGGAAGCAGCTATGGCATAAGAGCCATTTCCCCTGGGAAAGTTGTGCGTGCCATAGGGACACAGGAAGAAGAGAACGAGACAGGACCCTAGCAGCAGGCAGATGAGGCCTGGGTCGTCTGAGGGACTCTGTGTCCCCAGTACTTGGGCCTTGGCCCAGGAAGACACTAGGCGTGTGACAGCGGGCGGAGGACATCTCAGGCTGTGGAGGCAGTGCTTTGTGTGTTTGAGGCTTATCACGTGAGCACTGCACAGAACCCCACACCCAGCACACGGCTGGAGCACCTGCCCCATGGACAGCAGACATTTGAGGGCCAAGGGAAATGGCCACAGCGATAGGCCCAAGGAGGCCTCCCAGAGAAAGCCCTGCTCAGTGCAGGCCGGGCAGGCTGGAAAGGGGTCTCTGGGCCAGTCCCCACAGCACACACCTGGCAGAACGTCAGACCGGCCACACTGGAATGGCCAAAGACAGAGGAGACCCCAATCCTTCCTGGTGCTGGAGAGTGAACTTCGGGGAGCCTGTGCAACGTCCAGACTGGGATCACTCAGAGAGGCAGGGAGACAATGAGGGTGGGGGGAACCTTGACACTCCAGCCGTTGACCCAAGGGAGCCCGTGCTATCCTGGGAGGCGCTGCGATCTAATCTAGAAACAGCTGAACAAACTGTAGGCAGAAGTTTGTTTGTTGACACTATCTGTGGAAATGAGGGATAGTGTTGACAGCAATTTCATTCATTGATGGACAAAGAACTTCTGTGCCTCTGAGTTGTAGTGTGTAAATGTCAAAACCTCCACATTGATGTGAGAGAGGAAAAAGCCCCAGGAGGGCTTTGGTCACATAATAGACTACGCAGAGCGGACTCTCAGATGGCCGTGGAGCAAATTTGGTTGGTTTTTGGGTACTGAGGTGGGGAGATGGCCACGAGCTATCGTTGGGTGAAAAAGGCAAGTGACAGAACTAGAGGGGCAGTGTAATCCCTTCCAGTGAGAAAGAAGAGAGAAAGCAGAAAGGAAGGGAGGAAGGGAGGCAGGCAGGCTACAAGGAATGAATCTGGGGGCCTGCCAGTTGAGCCATCTGCCCTGTGGTCAGGGCAGCTGCTGGCCCGGGCTCAGGGTGCCCCTCTGAATGAAGGAAGAGGAAGACTCAGACAGCACCCCACGGCCCAACCTCATTCCATCCCCACAACTCAGGGCACGCCTGTGACTGACTTCCTTCCTCCTGAAATTGGCCCCCCTGGGGATAGGAGCCCATCCTCAACCATCCAGGGCTCTGTGGGAAACAAGGTTTGAGTCCTTCTTCCTGGCTCTGGGGACAGAGTCAGATACCATGCGCCAAAGGTTCAAGATGGTTCCATTTTATTTGAAGCAATGTGTTTCTGAAGAACCTACACAATTCTATATGTACATTTATCAAAACTAACCTTTCACTTAGGGGGGTGTGTGTGTGCGTGTATGTGTGTGTGTATGTGTATTGTATGTGTGTGTATGTGTGTGTCTATGTGTATGTGTGTGTATGTGTGTATGTGTCTATGTGTATGTGTGTGTATGTGTATGTGTGTGTATGTGTATGTGTGTATGTGTATGTGTGTATGTGTATGTGTGTATGTGTGTGTATGTGTGTATGTGTATGTGTGTATGTGTATGTGTGTGTGTGTATGTATGTGTGTGTGTATGTATATGTGTGTATGTGTATGTGTGTGTGTATGTGTGTGTGTGTGTGTGTGTCATACCTTTCCACTTGAAGACCGTCTTTCATTTTCTCCACGACCTTGTGTCTTCTACCTCACAGATTCTCAGACATTGACTTGTTTGAGTTTCTCAGCTCTGGCACTGGCGCTGCTACTTAAAGCATGCCCATCTCTCACTGTGATAAGCGCCAAAAAGCAGTGTGCCCACGGAAAGCACTTGCAGAAGTGAGGTGCTGGGACACAGCTGCCAGGATTGAAGATACTGAGGAAGGAACGGTGCCAACAATTTGCTGACTGCTTCCATGGCGACACCGTGTGGCCATGTTGTGCCATGTGTCCACACGTCTGAGACCTGTCATCTTTAAGATCACTCCTAGTAATTTAAAAAAAAAATTTGAAGTGAGACACATTATCTTCAAAAATTGTGCACAAAGTGAGGCCTTATGAGCGGTTTTTAGCATGCAATTTTAAATTCACGTGTCTATACGCCTAAGACCTGTCATCTTTAAGATCACTCCTCCAAATAATTTTTTTAAAAAAATTTGAAGTGAGACATATTATCTTCAAAAATTGTGCACAAAGTGAGGCCTTATGAGCGGCTTTAGCATGCAATTTTAAATTCACATAATTTACACATATAGAAAATAAGAGCACACCAGGAGAAATTAGAGCGTAGTTACAGGAAAAGCCGTGCCGACCTCGGTGTGGCTAGAGGGCCAGTCTTCTTCTTTCCCACCTGTGGTGGGATGCTTGTACCAGAGAAGAGAACCTCTCTTCAGAGCAGGTGGCAGCTCCAGTCATGGTGGTTGTGCTGGACGGATGCTGACTGCGAGCCAGCCTCTCTGTGGAGTGCTGCGTGCATGTACTTATTTACTTATTCATTCTGTAGTTATTTATCTTGCTCCTATATGGCAGGCACTCAGGATAGAGGGGTGAATGAGAAAGAGGTTCTTGCTCCTGTACAATCTATTGGCTTCCCTCCAAGGAATGTACTATGTTTTTTGTTTGTTTTTAGAGACAGAGTTTTGCTCTGTCGCCCAGTCTGGAGTGTAGTGGCACAATCATGCCTCACTGCAGCCTCGACCTCCCCGGCTCAACTTCCTCCCACTTCAATCTCCCTGGAAGCTGGGACTACAGGTGTGCACCAGCATGCCTGACTAATTTGTTTATTTTATGTTTTTGTATAGACAGGGTTCTTGCTATGATGTCCAGGTTGGTCTCAAACTCCCGGGCTCAAACAATCGTCCCGCTTAGGCCTCTCAAAGTGCTGGGATTACAGGTGTGAGCCACCGCGCCCAGCCTGTAAGAGTCCACTTGTAAGAAATGTCCAGAAAAGACAAATTTATAGAGACAGACAGTACATTTGTTGTTACCAGGGCCTGTGGGTGAGAATGAGGACTGACTGTGCAAACGGGCATTGAGTTTTCTTTTTGGGCGAATGGAAATGTTATAAAAGTCAGATTTTGGTCCTTCCACACCCATCCCAATTTGGGCCTCCCGTCTGGATTACAGGAAACTCCTCCTCCTCCTCCTTCGACTTCTTGGATACTGGAGCCTGAGCTGAAGAATGTTTTCATTTCTTTGCCTCATGGCCGCCTGTTACCTCTCCCCAGCGGAGAGGCAGCTTGCTTGGCTCCTGCTGACCCCGGCAGGGAGCCAGGTGCCTTGGGTGTCAGCTCCCGTACTGGCCGTGGCGGCTCTGAACTCGGCACCTGCTGACTGGGGTAAGGCTCTGGTGATCCTGGGCCCGGGTATAGGTGCTCATGCCACCCCCACCCCCCGGGTCAGCTCCTCTGTACTCTGGGCCCACGTGGAGGCTGGTTCTCCCTGGCCCTGAGAACACCGTGGTGCCTCCTCACTTGGCTTTGGCTGACATTCTGGGGATTCAGAGCTAGACTCTGGCTGTCTTTGAGGGGACTCCAGGTGTAGATCTTGCTGATGCTCGGGGGACCCTGGGCTTGGCTCTGGCTGCCTTTGGGGGGGACCCCAAACCTTTGCACCCTGCTGCAGACTGGGTGATCCTGGGCTTGTCTCTGGCTACCTTTGGGGGGACCCCAGGCCAGCTTGCTGCAACACTTGGAGAAGACCCAGGCTTCCTTGTTTCTTCTGGGTTGGACTCAAACTCCACAAGGGCCAATCTCGCCCATGAAACTGAGGTGAGACTCTCACGCCATGAGATCCACGGCCAAGCCACAAAGTTTCGAAACCCCTGCACATGTACACCGCACCCCCTGCCCCACCCCAGAGAAAGACTTTTGATTCCTAGTTCCCAAAGGCTCTCAGGGACCGGGCCTGGTGGCTCACGCCTGTAACCCAGCACTTTGGGAACTCAAGGCACAAGGATTGCTTGAGGATAGGAGTTCGAGACCAACCTAAGCAACATAGTGAGACCCTGCCTCTGCAAAAACAACAACAACAACAACAAAAACCCAAAAAACAAAACAAAACAAACCAAGAAAACTCTCCCAGGGCCAGCATCCACTTTCCTTTCTCCTCTGGCAGTTCATGGCAGTGCCAGTTTCCGTGTGCCCCCGCCAGCCCTGAGTGTTATTTTATTTTTTATTTTTTATTTTTTTGAGAGGGAGTCACACCTGTCGCCCAGGCTGGAGTGCAGTGGTGTGATCTTGGCTCACTGCAAGCTCCGCCTCCCGGGTTCACACCATTCTCCTGCCTCAGCCTCCCGAGTAGCTGGGACTACAGGCCCCCGCCACCACGCCCGGCTAGTTTTTTGTATTTTTAGTAGAGATGGGGTTTCACCATGTTGGCCAGGATGGTCTCGATCTCCTGACCTCGTGATCCGCTGGCCTCGGCCTCCCAAAGTGCTGGGATTACAGGCGTGAGCCATCGCGCCCTGCCTGGTGTTATCTATTTTTAAAACGTTTCCCTGTCTGAGAGGAAAGACATTATTCCATTGCTCCAGTTTGCCCATTAGCCCTGCACACCCCGAGCCTCCTCTGATTTGCCTGCTTGGCTGCTGAATGTCACCAGCCTTAAGGTTCTCCCGTCACTGAGGCCAGCATGCGCTGACCACCAGGAGGCCCTGCTCCCCTGCCAATGTCCTCTGGTCGCACCTGCTCCAGGACACTCAGCTGCGTTTCTGAGCCAAGGCTGCAAAGTTCCACGCCGGCTTTACGATCAGTAAAGGGCATCAATACCCTGAGGCGGGAACTCGGGTTTTTAAGGCGTTTTTGTCGCTTCCAGCTCGGTTTCCCCTGTGGTCAGTTGGAGCCAGGGTGGGGAATCTGCAGCTTGCAGAGGGGACCACTGCGCCTCCTGCCTGAGGCGGGCTGGGGGGTCGTTGTCCTCGCAGCGTTAAGGCGAGTCTGGGACAGGACCCCGGCACCCCCTCCGGATCTGTGGCATCCTCCAGGACTCCGGCGCAGGACGCGCTCCAGGAGCCGCTCCTTCAGGGCCTCCGGTGCGCGCAGTCCGGGCGCCGGACGAGCTCCTTTATCAGAAAGGGCAGCCGCAGAGCCCGCGTGTGCGCGATGTGGCTGCGGGTGGGGAGCGGGCGGCGGGCCCGGGACACCGCGGCCACTGTTCTAGCCCCGCCTGGGCCGCCTGACCGCGGCTCCGCTGCGCCGCAGCCCCGCGCCCCTCTGGCTCCTGTTCCCGGGCGCGGGGAGAAGGCGGCGGGGCGCGCCTGGGCCCGCGCGGGTGCGAACGCGAGGTCTTTCCTGGGTGCTCCCAGGTCGGAGGATTCCCAGGGCGGGGGCCATCAGGGTGGCGAGGAACCGGCAGGGACCAGCCTCCGCTAGGACCGCGCTCGTGGAGCGGGGAGGCTCCTGGATCACGTCATCTCCTGCTCCTCACAGATGCGGGAGGAAAAACGGAGGCTCCCAGGGCCCGGTTAACTCGCTCTCTTGACAAAGAACCTCCTGGACCGGACTCCAGCCAGGCCCCTCTGAGCCCCGTTCTCCACCAGGCCCCACCCAGCCTTGGCCTATGGAGACCTGAGCAGACACTAACAGTTACCAGCGCTGGAGGCCACACCCCTCAGATAACGCGGGCGCCCCTTAGTTGCCTGCCTGAGAAAACTGGATGCTGCCCAAGGGATGTAGTTTGTTCTGGCTGGCACCTGGGACAAGGCCTCTGTCTCCCGTCCCTCTGGGAGGATGACAGTTTCCAGACCGGGAGCAGCACTGGGGCCAACAGCACTCAACCAACCCTTTGCAATTTGTCACCTTCCTGACTCTGCTGAGCGCCCCCCAACCCCTTCCTTATTCCCTCATTCTCCCTTTGAAACTCAAAGTCACCTCTACAAATCCAAGTTCAGTCCAGCTCAGGCTGGACTCTTCCCCAGTGCAACAGTTGGTACTGATGAAAATCTTCCCTTACCCCTGTAATTGGAGCCTGATTTTGTTTCTCTTTGACAGGTGGCATAGTGAGTGGTAGAGTCAGGATCCAACCCACTTCTGCCTGAACAACGCCCCTCTCCCTCTTTCAGACCATCCTCCAGCTTCTACTTGATCCCCCCCTTCAACCTGTAAATCTCAGTCACCAACTAGAATCACTAGTCACCAGCTGGAATCACTAGTCACCAGCCGGAATCACTAGTCACCAACTGGAATAACTAGTCACCAACTGGAATCACTAGCCACCAACTAGAATCACTAGTCACCGACTGGAATCAGTAGTCACCAACTGGAATCGCTAGCCACCAACTAGAATCACTAGTCACCAGCTGGAATCACTAGTCACCAGCCGGAATCACTAGTCACCAACTGGAATCACTATTCACCAACTGGAATCACTAGCCACCGACTGGAATCACTAGTCACCGACTGGAATCGCTAGCCACCAACTGGAATCGCTAGTCACCAGCTGGAATCACTAGTCACCAACTGGAATCACTAGCCACCAACTGGAATCGCTAGTCACCAACTGGAATCGCTAGCCACCAACTGGAATCGCTAGCCACCAACTAGAATCGCTAGTCACCAGCTGGAATCGCTAGTCACCAGCCGGAATCACTAGTCACCAACTGGAATCACTAGTCACCCACTGGAATCACTAGCCACCAACTGGAATCGCTAGCCACCAACTAGAATCACTGCACCAGTTACTTACAGCAACAACAACTACTTACTGGAAAAAGATTTATTTTTTTGTTGTACTTTGTGCTTTTTCTGCCATGTTTTGCCCAGGCTTTGTTTGCCCATCCTCTGATCCTCTATTAGGATATTTAAAACAATTAATATGCCTTTTTTGAGCAGTTTTAGGTTTATAGAAAAACTGAGCTGAAAGTACAGTTTCCACATACCCCTCCCCTCACGGTTTTCTCTTTATGAACATCTTTCGTTAGTGGGGTACATATTCGAATTACTGAGCCAGTATCAGTACATTATAATTCACCAAAGTCCATCCTTTATGTCAGGGTTGACTCCTTGGGTTGTACGTTTTATGGGTTTTGACAGATGCATGATGACGTGTATCCACCATTACAGTCATAAAGGATGTTTCACTACCCTAAAAATTCCTTATGCTGCCTAGTTTTGCCTTTTCCAGGATGTCACGTTTGGAGTAAAACAGTATGTGGCCTTTACAGACTGGCTTCTTTCACTTAATAATATGCACTGAAAGTTCCTTCTGTGTTTCTGTCACTTGATAGACCATTTCTTCGTAGTGCTGAATAATATTCCATTGTCTGGATGTGTCACTATGTGTCCATTCACCTACTGAAGAACATGTTTTCTTCCAAGTTTTGATAATTATGAATAAAGCTGCTCTAAATATTCATGTACAAGTTTTTGTGTAAATATGTTTTCAACTCATTTGGGTAAATACCAAGGGGTGTGATTGTGGCTCGTATGGTAAGAGTATGTTGAGCTCTGTAAGAAACTCTCAGTTGTCTTCCAAAGGGGCTGTACCATGTTCCATTCCCAGCAGCAATGAATGGGAGTTCTTTGCTGTTCCACATCCTTGCCAGCATTTGGTGTTGTCAGTGTTTTGGATTTTATCTCTTCTAATAGCTGTGTAGTATTTTTGTTTTAATTGTTTGAATTTGCAATTCTCTAATGACATATCACGTCGATCACCTTTTCATCAATATATATTTATTTTTGGTGAGGTATCTGTTCAGACCTTTTGCTTATTTTATTTCTGGTGGTGGTGGCTTTTTTTTTTTTTTTTTTTTTTTTGCAAACTCTGCCTCCCGGCTTCAACTGATTCTCCTGCCTCAGCCTCCCAAGTACCTGGGATTGATTACAGGCGCCTGCCACCATGCCTGGCTATTTTTTGTATTTTTAGTAGAGATCAGGTTTCACTATGCTGGCCAGGCGGGTCTCGAACTCCTGACCTCAAGTGAGCTGCCTGCCTTGGCCTCTCAAAATGCTGGGATTACAGGCATGAGCCACTGCACCCAGCCATCTTTTGCCCATTTTAAACTTGGGTTGCTCTTTATTTTTGAATTTGAAGAGTTCTTGGTATATTTTGGATACAAGTCATTTATCAGATACGTATTTTATAAATATTTTTTTCCAGTTGGTGGCTTGTCATTCTTTATTTTTTTTATTTTTTATTTTTTGGAGACAGAGTTTTGTTCTTGTTGCCCAGGCTGGAATGCAATGGTGCGATCTTGGCTCAACGCAACCTCCGCCTCTCCGGTTCAAGCGATTCTCCTGCCTCAGCCTCCTGAGTAGCTGGGACTACAGGCTTGAACCACCATGCCCAGCTAATTTTGTATTTTTAGTAGAGACAGGGCTTCTCCATGTTGGTCAGGTTAGTCTTGAACTCCCGACCTCAGGTGATCTGCCCACCTCGACCTCCCAAAGTGTGGGAATTACAGGTGTGAGCCACTGTGCCCGGCAGCTAAGTTTTAAATTTTTTTGTAGAGATGGGATCTCGCTGTGTTGCCCAGGCTGGTCTTGAACTCTGGCCTCAAGCGATCCTCCCATCTCGGCCTCCCAAATTGCTGGGACCATAGGCATGAGCCATCACATCAGGCCCAACCTTAATGATTCTTTTTTTTTTTTTGAGATGGAGTCTCGCACTGTCATCCAGGCTGGAGTGCAGTGGCACAATCTCGGCTCACTGCAAGCTCTGCCTCCCGGGTTCACGCCATTCTCCTGCCTCAGCCTCCCGAGTAGCTGGGACTACAGGCGCCCGCCATCACACCCGGCTAATTTTTTGTATTTTTAGTAGAGATAGGGTTTCACCGTGTTAGCCAGGATGGCCTCCATCTCCTGACCTCGTGATCTGCCCGCCTCGGCCTCCCAAAGTGCTGGGATTACAGGCATGAGCCACTGCGCCCGGCCAATAATTCTTAAATGTACAGTTTAGTTGTCTTAAGTACATTTCACATTGTTGTGCAACTGACACCACCTATCTCTAGAACAAAACTGACCCTATACCCACTAAACAGTAACTCCCAAGCCATCCCTCCCTGCAGCGTCTTGCCCGACCATTCTTTCTGTCTCTGTGAATTTGACTACTCCAGGCACTTCATATAAGTAGAATCATATACAATGTTGGTACTTGTGCGTCTGGCTTATTCCCCTTAGTGTAGTGACTTCAGCGTTCATCCATGTTATAGCATGTATCAGAATTTCATTCCTCTTTTTTTTTTTTTTTTTTTTTTGAGACAGAGTCTCACTCTGTTGCCCAGGCTGGAGTGCAGTGGCGTGATCTTGGCTCACCGAAACCTCCGTTTCCCAGGTACAAGTGATTTTCGTGCCTCAGCCATCCGAGTAACTCGGATTACATGCATGTGCCACCACTCCCAGCTAACTTTTGTATTTTTAGTAGATAGGGGGTTTCGCCATGTTGGCCAGGCTGGTCTCAAACTTCTGGCCTCAAGTGATCTGCCCACCTTGGCCTTCCAAAATGCTGGGATTACAGGTGTGAGCCACCGCACCTGGCCAGAATTTCATTCCTTTTTAAAGCTGGATAATCTTCTATTGTATGCATATACTACATTTTGTTTGTCCATTCATTTGCTGCTGGACATTTGGGTTGCTTCCACCTCTTGGTTACTGTGACTAATGCTTATATGAACACTGATGTATGAATATCTATTCTAGTCACTACTTGCAATTCCTTTCAGTAAGTACTCAGAAGTGGAGTTGGGCCGGGCGCGGTGGCTCACGCTTGTAATCCTAGCACTTTGGGAGGCCGAGGTGGGCGGATCACCTGAGGTCAGGAGATCGAGACCAGCCTGACCAATATGGTAAAACCCTGTCTCTACTAAAAATACAAAAATTAGCCGGGCATGGTGGTGTGCGCCTATGCTCCCAGCTACTCAGGAGGCTGAGACAGGAGAATCGCTTGAACCCAGGCAGTGGAGGTTGCAGTGAGCAGAGATTGTGCCATTGCACTCCAGCCTGGACGACAGAGCGAGCCTCTAGCTCAAAAAAAAAAAAAAAAAAAAAAAAGTGGAATTACTGGATCATGTGATAGTTTTATGTTTAACTTTTTGAAAAAATAGCAGAATGTTTTCTACAGTGGCTATGCTATTTTACATTCCCAGCAGCAATGTACAAGGGTTTCAAGTTCTCTTCATTTTTACCAAAATTGCTGTTTTTATTTTTATTTTATTTATTTATTTTTGAGAGAGAGTCTTGCTCTGTCACCCAGGCTGGAGTGCAGTGGTGCGATTTCGGCTCACTGCAAGCTCCGCCTCCCAGGTTCACGCCATTCTGCTGCCTCAGCCTCCTGAGTAGCTGGGACTACAGGAGCCCGCCACCACGCCCGGCTAATTTTTTGTATTTTTAGTAGAAACAAGGTTTCACCATGTTAGCCAGGAAGGTCCCGATCTCCTGACCTCACGATCTGCCAGCCTCGGCCTCCCAAAGTGCTGGGATTACAGGCATGAGCCACCGTGCCCGGCCTCCGAGCCTGGGTCTTTATAACAGCCACCCCAGGCTCTCCAAGGGCACCTGTGGGCAGGGCCAGGGAGCTCTGACCACATGGTGACGTGCCCTCCTCCAGCTCCCAGAGAGCCTGCGGCCCTCAACAGGGTGGGGTGGTGAGGGTGGAGCCCAGGTCTAGGGAGGCCCGAGTAAGACAATGGATTGGACTCACTGAGTGCTGCCTGTTTCCTGGCGCTGGGCTCCATCCTCCCATGTACACCCTCTTTCTGTCTTCACCCTTGACAGAGCAGGAGCACCGTCATCTCGGACAAACACCACCACTTTAAGTTCCAGCTCTCTTTCTAGCCCCATGCATTTCAAGAAAATCACTTCTTTTCTAACTACATGCAACAACCAGAAAGAGCAGGCAGTAAAACACACATAAGACAGATAAGACAGCTCGGGTACAGGGGGAGGTGGGGGGAAAGCCTCTCAGGTAACTGCCAAACTTCACCCTCATACAACAGGCCCCAGTAAACCAGTGGGCCTTAATAAGCACATTCCTTTCCCTGCAGGTGCACTAAGATAGGGAAGCTAAAAGCAGATTTGGGGGCTATGCGTGCAGCTGCAGAAAGATGTATGGGAACAGACACACAACTCTCCCTCCCAGGTAAGCACAACAAAGAGACACAGGAGCAGTCCAAGCCTCTGATAAACTCTCCCACCCTGAATCCTTAAAAACTCAGTCTGTAAGGGAGTGCGGGTTCTGACCCAACTCGGACAGAAGTCCCTCCCAGGTTTGAAATAAACCTGTTGATTGTTGAGCCACCCTTCATGTTTCTCTCCTCTTTCTTTAATTCTTACAACCCCTCCTTCTGAGACGGAGAAGTTTACAGCTGGGGAAACTGAGGCTCACAGAGAGTTGACTAAGAGAAGGCAAGGAAGGGAGACAGAGCCCCCTGCAGACTCCTCACCCGAGGAACTGAGAGAAGCTAGGACCAGGGCCTGCCTTGCACCCCACTCCACCTCCACCTCCCTTTGTGGGACCTCAGGGGGTGGCCCCATTTCCCCTGTGCTGGGCAAGGAGCTCCTTTTTGCTGCCTGATGTTTTGGATCCTGAGCCCACACCCAGGCAGGGCTGTCTCCTCTCCCTGTAGTTGCCGAAGCCAGCAGGCCCCAGGCTTCACCTCTGTCCTCTACTGGATGACCCTGTGGTCAGTTCTCTGGGTTTTTCAGAAAGGTGGCACTTTTTACCCTGCATTTGGTGGAGAATTTCTCTGGAGCTTCCTAACAGAAATGAGGTTTTAGGCAGTTTGGTATAAAAAACAGTTAAGACTTTGGTACAGAATTGTGACTCTGCTGGGGAAAGGGAGACTCCCTTTCCCAGTCTGCTAAGTAGCGGGTGTTTTTCCTTGACACTGACGCTACCGCTAGACCACAGTCTGCCTGGCAATGGTGTCTTCCCAGAAGCTGGAGTTACCACTAGACCAAGGAGTCCTCTGGTGGCCCTGTCCGGGCGTGACAGAAGGCTCGCACTCTTGTCTTCTGATCACTTCTCACTATGTCCCCTCAGCTCCTATCTCTGTATGGCCTGGTTTTTCCTAAGTTATGATTATAGAGCAAGGATTATTATAATATTGGAATAAAGAGAAATTGCTACAAACTAATGATTAATGATATTCATATATAATCATGTCTATGATCTAGATCTAGTATAACTCTTGTTATTTTATATATTTTATTATACTGTAACAGCTTGTGCCCTCGGTCTCTTGCCTCGGCACCTGGGTGGCTTGCTGCCCACACACCTCAAGGGAGGCTTGGAGTACAGAGGACAGGGGGCTGGAGGTGCTCGGGGGTGCACCTGCACACACTCCTGCACACCGGCTCTTCTGCCCTTGTCCTGGCCGCACAGCAGGGGCTGGTGGTGGGACCAGCAGCTGGGGGGCAGGGAGGGGAAACAGGGTGGCAAATAGTTACAGTTTACTTTTATTATTGAGATGAAATTTACGTAACATAAAATTATCCATTTTTCAGTGGGAGATTTGTGGCATTCGGCACCATCACGGCATAGCACAGGCATCGCCTCTGTGTAGTTCCAAGACATTTCCACGGCCCCAAAAGGAAACCCCATACGTATTCAACAGTTGCTCCTTGCTCCCCACTCCCCCGGCCCCTGGGTTCTGTCTCTGTGGCCTCGCCTCTTCGGGACATTTCACCTGGACCTTTGTCTGGCTTCTGTCACTCAGCATGAGGTCTTCTGGGCTCCTCCACACTGTGGCATGCAACAGGCCCCGTTCCTGAGAGGGGTGAATAGTGTTCCATCACCCGTTCATCTGGGGACGGACATGTGGGTGCCTTCCACCCTTTGGCGATTACGAAAAGTGCTGTCAGGGACATTCCCGTTACAAATATCTGAGTCTCTGCTCTCAGTTCTCTTGGGTACGTAACTAGGCCCCAGGCGTGACATTGCTGGGTAATTCTTTTGTTTTTTGAGGAACTGCTGCGCTGTTTTCCACAGTGGTTGAGTCATGTTCCATTCCCAACAGCAGTGCACAGGGGTCTATCCCGTCCTCCCCGCCCCGTGTTATTCTCTGGTGTGTGTCTAACTCTGGCCATCCAGTGGTTGCACGGCATCATCTCCCTGTGGCTCTGGCTTGCCTTTCCCTGGCGACAGTGCTGCCGGGCACCTTTTCCTGGGCTTGCTGGCCAGTTGCCTCTCATTGGAATGGCATCTCTTTGAGCCCTCTGCCCGTTGTCTACATTTGGAAAACCCAACAGCCTGTCCCATTTTTAGTGTCCTGAGTTTAAGCATTTCTGCCCAAACCATCAAGCAGCTTCATCCAGAGGCATCTTCATCAGTGCCTGAGCCCCCCGTCCCTTTCGAGGAGGGCGTGGGATCATCTGATTTCTCCCGTGGGCATTGAGTCACCACCATCCTCGGGAACCCTGGGAACATTCCCAGAAGACCTCCTTCCCCCAAACCTCAGCTGTGCCCGGACCCCCTCCCCACCCAGGCAGAGGGCTGCATGTCATTGTAGGGGTGTCAGGAGACTTGGGTCCCGGTCACAGTTCCACCATGAGTGTGAGATGCGAGTGCTGGGCCTCCGTTTCCCCGCACACAATGGGGAGAGGGATGTCCGTGTTCTCCAGTGGGTGGCTCAGGCCGGGTGTTGGAGGAAGAACCTCGAGGAAGAGAGGGCGGTGCCTGTGT
The DNA here is from genome assembly GCF_000001405.40 of Homo sapiens. NCBI lineage: Eukaryota > Metazoa > Chordata > Mammalia > Primates > Hominidae > Homo > Homo sapiens. The sequence goes on from NC_000005.10 coordinate 180,682,437, forward strand.
GGGCAGAGATGGTGGCGCCTCCGAGGCCAGGGCTGACTCCCATCTCTGCTCCTCCTCCTGCTGCTCCTCCAGGCCACCCTTCCTGGCTGGGGGCCCAGGAGGAGAGGTGTCTGCAGAGGCCCTGCACCCCACACTGGGTCCCCTGCTCCACATGTTGGGAAGAAGGAATTTCGGTCTGGAACTGAGACTGCACTGCCACGATGGTGACTGCTGTCCTCTTTGGACTCCAGGGAGGTAGCTGTCCTTGGCATTTATTGAGTGCCGGCAGCAGCTGAGTCTGTGCTGTGAACACACCTTTCCACACACGCCAGCCCCGTGTCCAGAGCTCCAAGACCACCTGAGGGATTCACTCAGTGGAGCTCATGTGCTTATAGCGACTCTGTTTCCCAGGTGACCAGCATGACCTGGAGGAAGATATGCCAGGGCAGACGTCCTCTGAGGAAGCCACAGGGGTTCACATGGTAAAGACGTCTTCTTTCCTCTGAAATGGAAATTTTATTTCTCTTGGTGTCTCTCTGTTTCAACTGAATTAACATGTCTAAACCTTAACCGTGTACACTATAGGTGACTGACAGAATTTCTTGGTGTGCAAATGTCAGAGTTCTTTATCAACTAAAAAATGGTTTCACATGGCATCCACATTTACAAACTGTATGTCAGCAGACATTTTCCTCAAGAGAAATGCCTTCTTGTTGAGAAGTATTTGGAATTGTCAAACAAAAACAATTGAAAACCTTGCACAGAAATCTTGTGCCTTTCCATGCATATCTTCTAGATACCGGGGCCATTGTCTCAACCACTATTTACCATCTGTTTTTTTAACATCAACAAGTGAAGAAAAGACCTGTGCATGCAGGACACAGCCTGGTCTGACCCTCATAGTGTTTTATTTTTCTCTAGATGCAGGGGGACCCAGACACACTGGCAAACAGTACGTATTCTGGGATCATCTCTTTGTTTAGGTTCGAAATCTTAGTGTGGCAAAGGTGGCGCTGTTTTGCCTGCCTTTGCTCAAGAGCCACTCTGGTTTGAGCTTCCTGCCAGAAATGAGATTTGGGAAGTTTGGTTTAAGAAAATACTGAGAGTCCAGTAAACAACCCTAACCATGCTACTGTCATCCCTGGAAGCAGCAGTGTCATGTAAGGTGCGGTGGTACATCAGGGTTGGGAGGGACAGAGGAGAGAGTCCTTATGGAATGATTGTGGATGTCTTTGGGAGTGTGTGTGCATTTCCCCAGAAAACATACTCCCATGTTGAAAGCACAACACAAGGATCAATGTTCAAGGAAAATTCCATCAGCACTGCACAGTTTGCATAAATCAACCCATTCATCCTCCACCTCAGCTGTGCCCAAAGATAAGTTTACTATCCCCAGACCTCAGATGGACATGGTGCAGAGTCGAATTTACCAAGCTCTTGGTCTTTTAAATGGAAGAGGCACATGTGACCTCGGCAATGAGTGGAAGGTTAATGCCATGGGCTACTGCACTGAATTTGTCACAAAGCCCTGGTATAATTTCTTGCTAAGCCAAGTTACTCCAGCAGTTGCAGTGAGCTGAGATCATTCCATTGCACTCCAGCCTGAGTGACAAAAGCGAGACTTCCTCTCAAAAAAGAAAAAAGAAAAGAAAAGAAAGAGATCAGGCTCTTGGTGGTGGTGAATATAGAGAAGCTGCTCGGGGGGCTCTGGGGCAGTGGGGGAAGGGACGTTCTTCCTCCTTCACATGGGCCTATGCTTCAGAGCCATGGGGAGAGTTTCTGTTCTTTCCTGTGGTGCCCACATCAGCCTGGAGGGATGGGCAGGGCAGGGGCTGCCACCCAGAGTTGACAGCTCTGGGAAGTGAAATGAGGGATTTGAAGTGACCTGCCCAGAGTCACAGCACTCGGGAGTGATGGATCTGGGACAAGAATGTAGTTGGTTTTCTGGGGACAGAGGTCCCTGAACGCCTGAGACCTCCAAATCATGGACTGGACCCTGAACCAGGGGCTCTTTTCACTCCCTTTCTCGATCCTCCTGCCCCAGGTCTCTTCAGGAAGGTGGATGCCTGGAGGTGGCTAAGTCCAGAGAAGAGCTTCAATCATTCAAACAGAAACCTCCGGCCCCTGACCTTGCTTTGTGGTGAGCACATGACCAGTGACCATCCCAAGGGACCAGGGGGGTCTGTTTGGCCGCCAGGCTGGCTCAGAACTCAGGACGTTCCAAGCCAACTGCCACTTAACGGCTGTGCCAGGAAAAAACCTTCCTGCAACTGACCAACCCTGCAGGAGCAGTTAACGGAAGTTAACTGAAAATGTGGCCATCGGGGCTGGTGCATCAGTGGTTTGATGAATTCTATCCACGACCCATCCATCTTGCTGACGGCCGACCTGAGCAGCTACCTGAGAGCTGGCAGCGCTCGCTCGATGAAGGCCGCCGAATGACCTGGAAGCCACCCTGATGGGCAGGGCCCTCGAGGTTAATGAGACACAGGTAAAGTGTGCCCCAGGCCATGAGCAGGGGCCCTGAGGAGGAGGACTGTGAGCAGGAAGCGAGCTCCCTCACCTGCTCGCAGGAGACAACCCAGATAGATCAAAAGCCAAGAGCACAAAACCATGTGACAGCTGAGACAAATGTTGGCTTTTTAGACCTTTAAGGCAAGCATTTTGGTATTACAGGGACAGAATTAGAACCTGGGGGAAGCTGATGGAGCTGATGAAAATTTGAAGGAGGTGGAGGTTGTGCTGAGCCAAGATTGTGCCATTGCACTCCAGCCTGGGCAACAGAAGGAGAAGAGGGAGACCCCGTCTCAAACAAAAAAAAAAAAGAAAGAAATAGATTTCAGAATGAAAAATTGTTACCTCTTGTATTCTCATTGAGAACAAATTGATATCTTACGAACAGCTTACTTTTTAACCTTTGGTTTGATATTAGCGTATGTTTAATATTGTAGCTAGTTTTAATAAGACCCTATAAACAAATCTATCTCGGTTTTGATTGTGATTAGAAATTATGAGGTTATAAAACATTTATGTTTCATAAGCCTTTTATAACCTCATAACTTTTTCTATTTTATAACTGTTTACATTCATTCAGTTGTATTTATCTTTCAAATTTTTCTTTAAAACAATCCCCAAAACCTTTAAACTAGGCAAAATTCTGTTTCAAATCATGAAATAACTCATTATTTTTTTAGCAATCTCTGCATTTAGTATGCTCTAATATTTGGTTTCAGGTTTGGATGTCTCTATTCAGAAGACTTTGGCCTGTAATCCCCCTCTCATGGGCTGTCTCACACCGCACTTGGTATCAAGATTCTCCCGATCTGGTGAAGGCAGTGTTGCTGTGTTCCTTCTGGATCTATTCTATGGAAAAGAGTGCATAAAATTGGCATGGGAAATGGGACATTTTTCTAAATAGAGGAAAATATTTAAGGCAAAAATCCTGATAGAAAAATCAAGAATACAAATTCAGAGCTTGGGAAATTCATCTCTCCACCATCTCCAATCTGAGGACGGGGTATGTTACACTAACCTTCAGGTACAGCTGTGATGAAGGATGAAGTGTTGACTGATGCGGGGATGGAATTTTGTTTCTAGAACATTGATCCTTGGGTTGTGCTTTGCACAGAGGAGCATGCTTTCTAGAGAAATGCACACACACTCCCAAAGGCATTCACCATCACTCCACACGGACTCTCTCCTCCATATCTCCCCACCCTGATGCACCCCTATTCCTATTTAAATGACATCACTGCTTCTGGGAACTGCAGTGGATGGCCACAGTTGTTGACTAAACTCTTCATTTCTTTACACCAAACTGCCCAAACCTCATTTCCAGCAGGAGGCTCAAACCAGGGTAGTTCTCCAGCAAAAGTAGGGAGGAAAGTGTCACCTTTCTCAAAGCTAAGATTTTTCCTTATTAAATGGGAGATCCCAGAGTACGCACGTTAGAGCTGAATCGCTGAGTGTGTCTGCAGAGAGAAAGGAAAACACCGTGAGCCTCAGACCATGCTGTGTCCTGTGTTCATGGGTCTTTTCTTCACTTGGTGACATTAGAAAACTGGTTGGGAGATAGTGCTCGAGGCAATGGCCCCCAAATAAAGCCTAGAAGACACTTGAGGAAATGTACAAGAGTGTTGTATGAGATTTTCAAAAATGATTTTTGGTTGCAAAGTCACCGCTGTTTTCAAGAATGCATTTCTCCTGAGGACAATGCTCTCTGCCATGCAGTTTATCACTAACACTGTCATCTATGAGTGCCATCTGGAACAAGTTCCAAGTTGGCAATGAATGGGCTCTCACATACCTCTGCCCACCAAGAAATTCTGTGGCTCATCTGTAAAGTCCGTGGTAAGAATTACATATCTTAATTCAGAGAAAATAGAAAGAAACCAAAAGAAATAAAATTCCCATCTCAGACAAAGAAAGAAGACTTTACCGAGTGTGCTGCCTGGATCAGGTCCCAAGAATCCAGCGAGGGAAACCGCCAATTCTGGCGGTAGAAGAAGCCTAGGAAACATAGAGTCACTGTCAGCCGTGGGAGCTGCTGAAGGACCTCTGGCAGCCTTGGGTGCTGAGGACACAGGACTGGCGTGTGTGGAGGAGGTGGGTGAGAGCACGGGCGGAGCTGCTGCTGGGCCACCCTCCTTGGTGGTGAAGGGCAGGCAATGGACGCCATCAGGAGAGCCCTGGGAGACACAGCCTCGGGTCCCTGGCTAAGCCGCCCTCATCACTGTGAAGTAGGCAGTGTTTACACAGGCAGCACAGAAATGCACGACATCACTCCAGGACAGGGTCTCCTCACAGAAAGAGGCCTGGAAAATGTCCTCTATTTTAAAACAAGTTACCATGTTTAACATTCCTGAATCTATATATGCTCCTTCTGCACTTATCATCTCTATTATTGGATTTTTTTTTTTTTTTGAGACAGAGTCTCACTCTGTTGCCCAGGCTGGAGTGCAGTGGTGTGATCTCGGCTCACTGCCACCTCTGCCTCCTGGGATCGAGCGATTCTCCTGCTTCGGTCACCTGATATTATTGGATTTTAAAGCATTATTGTGAGAAATACACAATATGTATTATTTTAATTATTAAGTGCACACTTCGGAGCATTAGTTCTATTCACAATGCTGTACAGAAAACTAAAAACAGGCCGGGTGCAGTGGCTCGCACTGTAATCCTAGCACTTTGGGAGGCCAAGGCAAGGTGGATCACCTGAGGTCAGGAGTTTGAGACAAGCCTGACCAACACTGTGAAACCCCGTCCCTACTAAAAATACAAAAATTAGGCGGGCATGGTGGCGGGCACCTGCAATCGCAGCTTCTAGGGAGGCTGAGATGGGAGAATCACTTGAACCTGGGAGGTGGAGGTTGCTGTGAGTCAAGATCGTGCCATTGCACTCCAGCCTTGGCAACAGAGCAAGACTTTGTCTTAAAAAAACAAACGAACAAAACTAAAAACAATATTAATTCAGTTTTCTTACCTTCCACCTTAGGAAGCTACAGAAAAAACTATAGTGTAATGTAAACCAGATATAAAAATAGAACAAAAAATTATTTACAGAAATCATTATAATAGAAATGATAAACAAAACCAAGGGCTGCTTCATAGGAAAGATAAATAGAATTGATAAACCTCCAGCCAGGCTAACCATCAAGAAAAGCTAGGAGACACAATTTACAAATAATATAAATAAAAGGAAGAATCATTCCTGTTGATCCCATTAATATCAAGCAGATAATAAAAGAATACTTAGCATAAATCTATGCTCACAAATTTGACAGCTTAGATAAAACTAACAAATTCCTTCAAAGGCAGAAACTATATCATAAGTACCCAAAGGAGACTCAGATAATCTGAGTAGGCTTATATCTATTACAGAAATTGAATCAATAAGAACTTTTTTAAAAATGCATTTTTAAAAATGATTTTACTGAATTCTACCTAATTCTTACAAGGGAAAACATAGTCTTATTATATACACAGCTGATTAAAATTCTAAACATTTACCCAGTTACATTTTAAAATTATGCCCATTGCAAAATCTGCACGAGAATGAGGGCAGCTGTATTCACAATCACCTGAACGGGAAGCAGCTGAGATGCTCTTCAGGCAGTGAGTGCAGCCACCCACATTGTTACAGGAACCCAGTGGAACATGATTCACTGATAAAACTTAGTAAGCCGTTAAGCTAAAAAAGATAGGAAAAATCTTGCATGCATATTGCTAAGTGAAATCAGTTAGTCCTAAGTGACTGCATACTTTATGATTCCAATTCTATAGAATCTGGGGAAAGAAAATCGACAGAGGCAGTAAAATAAATGATATTTTATTTTACTCATGTTTTGAGTGTGAAACTTTTCTGTCTGGGTGATGAATGACATTATGAGTTTGTCAAAATCCGTAGGCTGAACAACACCGGGTGAGCCTTACTGCAAACTCTAGACGTTCATTAAGAAGAAGATGATATCACTATTGCTTCAGCCACTATAACAAATGCACCACATTCATGTAAGATGTGATCACAAAAAAGATACTGAGGGGGGAGGGTATATGGGAACTTTCTGTACTATTTCAATTTTTATGTTAATTTACAAGTTTCACATGATCTCCATTTGTTTGAAAACGCAGCAACATGATCTCAGGAAGAGTTCCATTTTAGCCAATGTCTAACAATCAGCGAAATATCTAAACCTTGCATTGAGATGTTCTTTACTATTAAAAGTGAACCAAACTTGAAGCGGAAATACAGTCACTAGTGACTGACTAGTGCTACACTAGTCAATTTGCACACATGAAATAAAGAAGATACAGTGTAGCAACGTCAGAGTGGTCTGAAGTGTGGGACACTGAAGAATGTGGAATCCTTATGCTTGCGAGGGTGAGTAACTGAATTTCCACAGTACCTCTACGTCGCTGCTCTTCAGGGGGCAAATTAGGATCAGGGCGCATATGCGCTCTAAATCTGTGCGTAGATTCCTGCTGATCCAAGGAGTTATCTGGGAAATGTAAGAAAATAAAGACAGCTGTTGACATCTTGCTGCAAAAGACCATAAAGAAATGAGGAATCGTTTATTCACAGTTCAACCCATTTCCTGTGTTCCCCGAGAACACTGTGCTGCCAGCGAGCTGTACTTTGAAGTGGTGGCCTGCCTCTTCACATCTGTGGGTATTTCTAGTCGGGTGGGATGAGAGACTGAGAAAAGAAGTAAGACACAAAGACAAAGTATAGAGAAATAACAGTGGGCCTAGGGGACTGGCACTTAACATACTAAGGACTTGCACTGGCACTGGTTTCTGAGTTCTTTCAGTTTTTATTGATTATTTTTATTATTTCAGCAAAAAGGAATGTAGTAGGAGGGCAGTGTGATAATAAGAAGAAGGTCAGCAAAAAACATGTGAGCAAAAGAATCTGTGTCATAATTAAGTTTAAGGGAAGGTAATGTGCCTGGATGTGGACGTAGGCCAGATTTATGTCTCTTTCTACTTAAACATCTTAGCGGAGTAAAGAATAACAAAGCAGCATTGCTGTAAACATGTCTTGCTTCTTACTATCGGGCGGTTTTTCTTTGATCTTAGAATTGAACAAATGTACAGTCGGGTTTTATACTGAGACATTCAGTTCTTAGGAGCAGGCAGGAGACAGTGGCCTTCTTCTATCTTAACTGCAAGAGGCTTTCTTTTTTTACTAATCTACTTTAGCACAGACTTTTTACAGGTGTCGGGCTGGGGGACGGTCAGGTCTTTCTTATGAGGCTATATTTCAGACTATCACATGGGGAGAAACTTTGGACAATACTTCACTTTCAAGGGCAGAGGTCCTTGCGGCTTTCTACAGTGCGTTGTGCCTTTGGTTTATTGAGACTAGAGAATGGCGATGACTTTTACTAAGTATACTGCTTGTAAACATTTTGTTAACAAGGCACGTCCTGCACAGCCTTAGATCCTTTAAACTTTGATTGTATACAACACATGTTTTTGTAAGCTCTAGGTTGGGTCAAAGTAGTTGGGTCAAAGTGGCTGGGGCAAAGCTACAGATTAACGTCTCAGCAAAGCAATGGTTCAAAGTACAGGTCTTTTTCAAAATGGAGTCTCTTATGTCTTCCTTTTCTACATAGACACAGTAACAGTCTGATCTCTCTTTTCCCTACACAGTTTTCCTTTCTAAATGGGAAATGGATTAAATCAGGGGTCCCCAACCCCTGGGCCATCGATAGTGTGTGGCCTGTTTGGAACTGGGCTGCACAGCAGGTGGTGAGCAGCCAGCTGGGAGCAAAGCTTCATCTGTATTTACAGCCGCTCCCCGTCACTCCCATCACCGCCTGAGTTCCACCTCCTGTCAGATTAGCCAGGGCATTAGCTTCTCATAGAAGCGCAAACCCTACTGTGAGCTGCACAGGCCAGGGATCCAGGCTGCATGTGCTTTATGAGAATAAATGCCTGATGATGGGTCACTGTCTCCCATCACCCCCAGATGGGACTGTCTCGTTGCAGGAAAACAAGCTCAGGGCTCCCACTGATTCTACCTTATGGTGAGTTGTAGAATTACTTCATTAATTATTACAATATAATAATAAAGTGCACAATAAATGTACAAGAATCATCCTGAAAGCATCCTTCCTCCCCACCCTCATCCTCTGAAAAATTATGTTCCATGAAATTGGCCCCTGGTGTCAAAAAGGCTGGGGACCACTGGGTTCAATGTTTGATCCATTGTCCACTGTCACCATCTGCAGCGATAAGCCTCCTGAAACTGAGCTGGGCGTTAGGAAGAACTTGCACTGTGGATTGCACTTAACAACGGTGCAGACCGACTGTGTAGGCAAATCCCTGTACTGAGATAAGACAAGGTAGAAGGGCGGCAGATGGGAGTGACCAAGAGCACGGGGAACTGGTGCACAAAGGTTTGGGCTCAAGTCCTTATTTGGAAGCTACATGAACTGAGAAGTTCTATAGACCCTTCTGTGCCTCAGTTCCCTCTTCTGAGTGTGGAAATGTTCATAATGGCCTATGTTACATTCTAAGGCTAAAAGTAATTAAACAGAGGTAAATTCTGAAGAAAACAGGTGCTTCAGGAATCCCCTTCACCCATTCCAACCTCCAGCTTCATTATCAAACCCTATCCATCTTCCTCATGATTGTCAGACCAGACTTTCATGGTCCCTCATTGTCACAGCTGCAGCTCTCCCTGAGAGCTGCCTTCACCCTCACCCCAGCCAGTCCCTCTCTGGAATCCTCCTCCCATACACACATACCACCTTTCTAGCATAAGCCGGATTCTGCCACTGTCTATTTGAAGTCCTGCGTATGACTTCCATCTCCTACTGCAAGAGTCATCAGCTCAGCCCAACTTCCCTAAGCCCTGATGATCCAGCCGTCATCTGTCTCTGCCACCTCCTGTCCTCACTGTCACTGTGCTCTCCCTTCACCACCAATATTGTAACTGACGAGCCTATCCCCACATACAATGTCCTCCTTAAACTTTCTCTGCCTGGAACTTCTTCTGCTTTAACCAATATGAGAAATTGGAATACCTTCTTTATGGCTCATAACACATGCCATCTACCCGGCAAAACCTTTCCAAAAGGTCAGTTCTCATTTCTCATTGCACATCCCTCCATGGCAGCAGAGGCCATATTATGTCTACCTTTGTATTTATTTACAATCTGTTTGTAAATCATGACATGCTGAATAAAATTACTGCCACATTTATATTGGTGTCATGAATCCTTAACATACCATAAACACTCAGCCCTTGCCATGTGAGAGAACAAATGGGTATATAAACTTAATATTATTCTCCTTTGTATTAGCAACACATATACTTACCCTGGTCTGGATCCACCGAATGTTTTCTACCCCACTGCCACACACCTGCCCAAATCCTAAGCAGCATTTAGAAACTAGCTCAAGTGTCTCACTGCAGGCAGTTTTCCTTGTTCCCTCAAAAACAAAGTATGATACTGTCCCTGAATTCCTTACTCAGTTTTCTTTCCTGTAAGGTTTCAATTCCTATCTTACGTTAATAAAGATTTAGATCCACATGATCCGTCTTCATATGTAAGCTATTTCAGAGCAGTTTCCATATCTACCATGTGTTGTATCCTTCAGAAGGTCCAGTATTCCCCAGAAAACTACAGCTCTAACAATCTCTTGAGAAAATCAACAAGTATTGCAAAATATCCTGATTACAGATTTTGAGGACAGCAAAAATGTGAATGAATGCCTGTATTATGCAATTTTTGTAAGATTACAATCACCACTGTTGATGACAACAATTTTACATTCAGCTTGTATTTAGTACTTGCTTCATTTGTTTGTCAATCAATTTGGGCTGAAATCTGAAAATTATCCTTCCTGCCATTAATCCACTCTCCAAATAATTTCTATGACACAAATTCCAGGGATCGTAATTTCTTAAACTGAATCCTTCCAGATCAATTTTCCAATTGCCCTCTTTACAACTTTGTTCCTCAGTGCATAGATTAGTGGGTTCTAGGTGGGGGCAGCAATGGTATAAACAAGAGGAAGCAGCTTTCCCTGAATCTGAGAGTAGTTACTCTTCAGCTGAAGACACATGAACATGATGGTTCCATAGAACAGCAAGACCACCATCAGGTGGGAGGCACAAGTCCCAAAGGCCTTCTGCTGACCTTCAGCAGACTGCAGCCTCAGCACAGCCCTGGCAATGCAGGCATAGGAGGTGAGGATGGTGCACACTGGAAGGGCAAGGATGATCACACGAGCAATTAACATCTTCAATTCAGTTGGGCCGGTGTCCACGCAGGACAGCTTGACAATGAGCAGGACCTCACAAAGAAATGGTCCACACGGCGGTGGCCACACAGAGGCAAAATGGTGGTTAGTGAAGAGTGAAAGAGAGAGTTGGCTAACCCAGAAAACCAGGACAAGGCTGCGAGAAAGTGGCAGATCTGTTGGTGCATGATTGTAACATAGTGAAGGGGCCAGCGGACGGCAACATAACGGTCCACAGCCATGATAGCAAGAAGCACACACTCTGTGGAGCCAAGAGCCAAGGCTACAGAATACTGAACCATGCAGCCTACATAGCTGACCTTCTTACTCTCTCCCCAGATGTTCACCAGCATCTGAAGGACAATGCAGGTGGTGAAACACATGTCCAGAAATGAGAGCTTTCGGAGGAAGAAGTACATTGGGGTGCGGAGCCGGTAGTCCAGCAGAGAGACCAAGATGATGGCTGTGTTCCCTGTGAATGTCATGGTGTAGAACCCGGAGACAAACAGAGAAAGGATGAACTCAGCCTGGGGATATTCTGAGAAGCCAACTAAGATGAAGTCTTCCCCTGAGCTGTCATTTATTTTCATCATCTGCTTATTTTGTAGCACTTGAAATAGAATCAAGTGTACTCTATCTATTGTCAAAACAAATTTTAAAAAGGAGTTAGTCAATTTTTATGTAATATTCACTATGATTTCACAGGTTTGCAAACAAATCTACATAATAGGAATTCAAATTTCCTGGTGTAAAAAATTATTTAAATGGTTTAAATGTAAATCCAATGTTACAAAGAATGTAAAACTTAGAATAAAGTAGCTTTGTTTTATTATTATTACTGCTTAACACTTTTAGACAAATGAGCTCAAAACACTAAGAATAGTAAAGATAAAATAAAATAAATTTTATAGACCACCAGTACTATATTAAATAGATGTAGAAAGAGTGGACATCCTTGTCTTGCTCCTGATCTTACAGAAGAAGCTTTCAACTTGTCACCACTAAGCATGTTAGCTGTTAGCTTTTCATTTATGGCTTTTATTGTGTTGTGCTACATTCCTTCTATACCTAATCTATTGAGATTTTGTATCATGAATGGACATTGAATTTGGTCAAATACTTTTTCTGCCGCTAACATGATGATCGTATGGTTTTGTCCTTCACTCCGTTCATGTGGTGTGTCACATTTATGGATTTGCATTTATTTAAAAGATCAACAAAATTGACAAACCCTTAGCTAGATTAACTAAGAAAAAAAGACTCAAGTAAAATCAGAATGAAAGAGGGTCCATTACAGTCAGTATCACAGAAGTAAAAAAGGTTTATAAGACAACCCATGAACAATTGTACTCCAATAAACAGATAATCTAGAAGAAATGAATAAACTCCTTGAAACATACAACTTACCAAGACTGGATCAGCAAAAAATAGAAAACTAGGACAGACCAATAACTAGTAAGGAAACTGAATCAGCAATTAAAAACTTCCCAACAAAGAAAAACTCAGAACCATAAGGCTTCACTGGTGATACTCTACCAAATATTAAAGATGAATTAAGATCAATTATGCTCCAATTCTTCAAAAAATAAATAAATAGGAAAAAACACTCACAAACTCATTCTATGAAGCTAGCATTGTCCTAATATCAAAGCCAGACAAAGTCACTAAAATAAAAGAAAACTGTAGAATAATCCTGATGATTATTGGTGCAAAAACCCTCAAAAGAAAATTAGCTGGGTGTGGTGGCAGGTGCCTGTAGTCCAAGCTACTCGGGAGGCTGAGGCAGGAGAATGGCATGAACCCAAGAGGCAGAGCTTGCCGTGAGCCAAGATTGCACCATTGCACTCCAGCCTGGGCAACAAAGTGAGACTCCGTCTCCAAACAAACAAACAAACAAAAACCCTCAAAAGATATTATCAATCTGAATTCACAGCACATTTAGAGGATTCTACATCATGATCAAGTTTTATTCCTGGAGTGTAAGGATGGTTTAATGCTGGAAAATATATGAAGATTAATCAATGTAATATTCCACATTAATAAAAGACAAAACTACATGATCATCACAACTGATGCAGAAAAAAGCATTTGACAAAAGATAATACCCTTTTCCTGGTAAAAACAATCAGCTAGGAATAAAAGGAAACCACCTCAACATTATAAAGCCATGTATGAAAAATGCACAACTTACACCATACTCAGTGGTGAAAGACTGAAAGTTTTTCTTCTAAAATCAGGAACAAGGTGAGGATGTTGGTTCCCACCACCTCTATTCAATATACTACTGGGAGTCCCAGCTGGATTAATTAGGGAAGGAAAAGAAATACAAGATATCCAAATTGGAAATGAAGAAGTAAAGCTATCTCTGTTCACAGATGATATGATCTTATAGGTAGAATGTCCCATAGAGTGTGCAAACACACAGTTAAAATGAATGAATAAATTCAGCAAAGTTGATGAATAAAAGATCAGCAAACAAATCAACTGCATTTCTATAGACTAAAAACAAATAATCTAAAAGGGAAATTAAGAAAAAACTTCATTTAAAATGGCATCAAAAAGAATAAAACACTTAGAAGTGAAATTAAACCATCAAGTGAAAGACTTGTACATCCAAACACTATAAAATGGTGAAAGAAATGAAAGAAGACATAAATAAAGAAAATACATCCCATGTTCGTGAATTGGAAGGCTTAATATCGTTACAATGTACACACTATTCAAAACAATATATTCAGTCCTCTTTAATCCCTATCAAAATTCCAATAATTTTTTTTCAAAAACAGAAGAATTCATTCTAAAATTGATGTAGAACTTCAAGAGACCCTGAATAGCCAAAACAGTCTTGAAAAGAAACAAAGTTTGAGGTCTCTCACTTCCTGATTTCAAAATATATTGCAAAGCTACAGTAATTGAAACAGCATGGTACTGGCATAAAGATATACATACAGACCAATAGATTTGGATAGAGAGTCCAGAAGTAAATCCTACTGTGCAGGAGGACAAATCTCTGCATTGCCTTGGATGACCCAGCTCTGCCTACTCCCACTTGCATTCTTGGAATAACCGTAAAATGAAACATCCTGAAATTAGAAGGACCTGTTTGGAAGACTCTAGACAGTGTCATCATTCCTTCCAGAACTGAATATTTTACAACACTTGTGCTCAGTGATCCAAGTTGCACCCAGAGGTATAAAATCCAAAGTGGACTGTTTTAGGCATCACTCAGCTGAGATACAGAGTGGGATATGTAAACAAAATTTTATCTGTCCTGGAAAGATTTCCTAAGCCTTGAGGCACCAGCACACCACATATTCCAGCCTTCTGTTTATCCTTGCTTCCTATCTGTTAACAATAAAGTTGTTTTACTTAGTGTATTTTAAGAGTGTTCTGTCTCACCACACTCACACTCTGGCAGCTGGGTTTGAGTAAAACCTTCTGCCAGATTTAGAAAACTTTGCAGAAATTGGCAAGGTGTTTAGTCTTCACCTGGGATTGATACTAGTGCACACTATTCTGCTTAACATCACACACGTGGTCAGATGATTTTTGACAGGGGTGCAGAGGGAGACAGGAGACTCTCTTCTCAAATGATACTGGGAAAACTGGATGTTCATATGCAAAAGAATAAACTTGAATCCTTATGTTAAACCATATGTAAAAATTACTCAGAATTGATGAACAACATAAACCTAATACAGACAAATCAAACAGCAGCACATCAAAAAGCTTATCCGCCACAATCAAGTAGTCTTTATTCCTGGGCTGCAAGTTGGGTTCCACATATGCAAATTAATAAATGGGATTCACCACATAAACAGAACTAAAGACAAAACCTACATGACTATTTCAAAAGATGCAGAAAAGGGCCGGGTGCCTGTAATCCCAGCACTTTGGGATTTATTAAAAAGTCCAAAAATAACAGATGCTGATGAGATTGTGGAGAAAAAGGAATGCTTATCCACTATTGGTGGGAGTGTAAATTAGGTCAGCCATTGCGGAAGACAAAATGGTGATTCCTCAAAAATCTAAAGACAGAAATGCCATTCAACACAGCAATCCCATTATGGGGCATACACTCAAAGGAATGTAAATTGTTCTATTATAAACACACATGCACCCGTATGTTTATTGCAGCACTATTCACAATTACAAAGACATGAAATCAACCTAAATGTCCATCAATGATAGACTGGATAAAGAAAACGTGGTACATGCCAGAGAATACTATGCAATCATAAAAAAAGAATGAGATCAAATCCTTTGCAGAGATATGGATGGAGATAGGGGACATTATCCTTAGGAAACTAACACAAGAACAGAAAACCAAATGCCACATGTTCTCACTTATAAGTGCGAGCTAAATTATGAAAATGCATGGACACATAGAGGGGAACAACACATACTGGGGACTATCAGAGGGTGGACAGTGTAAGGAGAAAGAGGATCAAGAAAAATAACCAATAGGTACTGGGCTTAATGCCTGGGTGATGAAATAATCTGTACAACAAACCCCCAAGCCACAAGTTTACTTATGTAACAAACCTGCACATGTACCCTAAACTTAAAAGAAAAAGATCCCCATACTACAAAATTCTTAGAAGGAAACATAGGGGAAAATCTTCATGGTGTTGGATTTGGCAATGATTTCTTAAATATGATATCAAAAGCACAAGCAACACCAGGAAAAATAGACAAATGGGACTATATCAGACCTAAAACTTCCATGCATAAAAGGACACAATCAATAAAGTGATTGTAACTGGTGATCTGTGAGCCTTGCCTGTGGCTGGAGTGGCCAGGACGTGAGAAGCAGCATTCTGGGGCAGCACAGGGCAGCAGTACTCTAGGCCTGGTTTTCTTTCCTTTCTCTTCCCCAAATCAGTCCGTCCTCTCGGTCCCCTCAGCCTTTCCCCCATTGTCTTGAATATTATCACTTGGCTCCCTTTTAGTCATACTAATCTTTCTAACAAGTGGTTTCTCTGCAGCCTGCTTGAATTCCTCTTCTGAAACTGCCTCTTCTTTCTTGACCACATGGCGAGGCTGTGAATTTTCCAAATGTTAACACTCTACTTCTCTTTTAATTATCAAGTTATTCCTTTGCTCCCATATCTGATTGTAGGTTGTTAGAGCCAGCTATGCAACTTCTTGAACACTTTGCTGCTTAGAAATTTTGCAGGGCACAGTGGCTCATGCCTGCACTTTGGGAGGCCGAGGCAGGAGGATTACCTGAGGTCAGGAGTTCAAGACCAGCCTGGTCAACATGATGAAACAACTTCTCCACTAAAAATACAAAAAATAACTGGGCATGGTGGTGCATGCCTTTAATCCCGGCTGCTCGGGAGGCTGAGGCAGGAGAATTGCTTAAGCCCGGGAGGCAGAGGTTGCAGTGAGCCGAGATCATGCCATTGCACTCCAGCCTGGGCAACAAGAGTGAAAATCTATCTCAAAAAAAAAAAAAAAAAAAGAAAAAGAAAAAGAAAGAAAAAAAAAGAAATTTCTTCCACCTTATGTCATCACTCTTAAGCTTAGCCTTACACAAAGTTCTAGGACATGGACACAATCCAGCCAAATTCTTTGCTATGGTGTAGCAAGGGTGACCTTTGCTTCAATTCCTAATAATGTTCTCATTTTCATCTGATACTTCATCAGCCTGTCCTTCACTGTCCATATTTCTATCGGTATTTTGACTACAACCACTTAACCAGTCTCTAAGAAGTTCCAAATTTTCCCTAGTCTTTCTGTCTTCTTATGAGCCCTTCAAATTCTTCCAACCTCTGCCCATTACCCAGTTCTCAAGCTGCTTCCACATTTTTAAGTATTTTTATAGCAACACCGCACTCTTGGTACCAATTTTCTGTGTTAGTTCATTTGTGTTGCTATAAAGAAATGCCTGAGGTTGGGTAATTTATAAAGAAAAGAAGTTTATTTGGCTCAAGGTTTTGCAAACTGTACAAGAAGCATGGCACCAGCATCTGCTTCTGGTGAGGACCTTAGGAAGCTTTGACTCATGGTGGAAAGCAAAGGGAAACCAGTATGTCACATAGTGAAAGAGGTAGCAAGGGAGATATGAGGCACTTTTAAACAACTAGGTCTCACATGAATTAGTAGAGTGTAAATGCATTCATTACCACAGGGAGAGCACCAGCCATTCATGAGGAATGTGCCTCCATAAACCAAACACCTCCCACCAGGCCCCAACTCCAACACTGTGGGTCAAATTTCAACATGAGATTTGGAGGGGACGATATCTAGACTATATCAAGGGGTTAATATCTAGAATGTATAAAGTACTCCTATGACTAAATAACAACAAAATAACCCAACTCAATAATGGACAAAGGATTTGAATAAACATTTCCCCATAGAAGATTTACAAATGGCCAATAAGCACATGAAAAGATTCTAAGTATCACTAACCATTAGGGAAATGCAAATAAAAACTACAACGAGATATCACTTCATACTTAACTAGAGTGGTTACTACCAAAAACGGAAAATAAATGTTAGTAAGAATGTGAAATTGGAACCCTTCTGCATTGCTTTTGGGAAATCTAAAATGGAGCTGTTGCTTTGGGAAAAAGTATGACAGGCTCCTCAGAAAATTAAAAATAAAATTACCATATGGTTTAGCAAACTCCTTGCTGGGCATATACCCAGAATAATTGAAATCAAGGACTTGAACAAATACTTGCACACCTGTGTTCATTACAACATTATTTATAATATCCAACAGGTGGAAACAACACAAATATTTATCAACAGATGAACAAATAAACAAAAATGTGGTATACTCATCCAATGAAATATTACTCAGCCTTCAAAAGCCTTCCTGTCACATTCTACTACATAGATTAATCATGAGGACCTTATGTGAAGTGAAATGTTGCGGAAGTCAGGGACCCCAAACGGAGGCACCGGCTGAAGCCATGGCAGAAGAACATAAATTGTGAAGATTTCATGGACATTTGTTAGTTCCCCAAATTAATACTTTTATAATTTCTTACGCCTGTCTTTACTGCAATCTCTGAACATAAATCGTGACGATTTCATGGACACTTATCACTTCCCCAATCAATAACCTTGTGATTTCCTATGCCTGCCTTTACTTTAATCTCTTAATCCTGTCATCTTTGTAAGCTGAGGAGGATGTATATCGCCTCAGAACCCTGTGATGATTGCGTTAACTGCACAAATTGTTTGTAGAGCATGTGTGTTTGAGCAATATGAAATCTGAGCACCTTGAAAAAAGAACAGGATAACAGCAATGTTCAGGGAACAAGGGAGATAACCTTAAACTCTGGCTGCCTGTGAGCTGGGCGGAACACAGCCAGACTTCTCTTCTTTCAAAAGCAAATAGGAGAAATATCGCTGAATTCTTTTTCTCAGCAAGGAGCATCCCTGAGAAAGAGAATGCATCCCTAAGGGGAGGCCTCTGAAATGGCCGCTTTGGGGGTGGCTGTCTTTTATGATCATAGCTGTGGGATGAAATAAGCCCCAGTCTCCTGTAGTGCTCCTAGGCTTATTAGGATGAGGAAATTCCTGCCTAATAAATTGTCTCCATTTGCCTTGTAATATCTTATTACCTTGTGAAGCATGTGATCTCTGTGACCCACACCTATTCGTACACTCCCTCCCCTTTTGAAAATCACTAAAAAACTTGCTGGTTTTGCAGCTTGGGGGCATCGCGGAACCTGCCGACATGTGATGTCTCCCCTGGATGCCCAGCTTTAAAATTTCTTTCTTTTGTACTCTGTCCCTTTATTTCTCAGACCAGCCGACACTTAGGGAAAATAGAAAAGAACCTCTGTGAAATATCGGGAGTGAATTTCCCCTGATAGTGAAATAAGCCAGTTACAAAAAAACTTATGCTAAAATTTGTATTAATTTCACTTATATATGGCATCTAAAGCTGTCAATTTTATAGAAACAGAAAGAATGATAGTTATTAGGAGACGGGGTAGAGGAAATGGAGAGTTATTTAATGTGTTGTAGAGTTTCAGCATGTAAGATGAAAAAGCTCTGGAGATCTGTTACACAACAACATGAATATATTAACACTACTGAACCGTACACTTAAAATGGTTAATGTGGTAAGTTTAATGCTATGTTTTTTTAAAACCTCAATTAAAAATTAAAGTTAAAAAAATTAGAGACCAAGTTGTTTGGAGATAGATTAGAATTTATTAAAATAAATCACTCTAAATAAATAATTATTTGCTTCTTCTCTCCCCACCCCAAACAATGTACATTTTGAGAAATGATCAAGAGTCAGTGGATGCAGGGTAATAGCGGTGAGCATAGTGGATAAAGAAAGGGAATAAGATAAATTATGCTTATGTCTTGCATAAGCTTGTCATGACAGTGTGCTACAAACTGCACAGGACATTAACCCCACCTTCTTCACATAAAATTCCAAAGTAGAGGTAAAGACATAAAAGTGAAGTAGAAAAAAGTCATAGATTTCTAATATTAGCATGAGCTAGTTTAATGGAGGAGAGATCTCAAAAAGAGTAGGAACAGAAGATATTGAATACTTATGAATAACCTACATAAAAAATAAACAGGTCTCATAGAGGAGTGTCTAAATTTCTGAATAATATGAAATATTTTAACATGTGGTGTTACATACGTCCTTCTTATAGGAAAAACTATGTTTTAAAGATGGAAATGTTTTCTAAATTTATCAATGAACTCAAGACAATCCCAGTAAACTTACCAATATTTTCTAACTTGACGAAATTGTTCTAAAGCTTAACTAAAATAATAATCTATTAATAATGACTTAGCTACATCTAAAAAGCATTATATTTTTATTATTAAAAAATACTATCTAGTCACAAATAGCAAAAACAGTGAAACTGAACCAGGAAGCCAATTAGAAAAAAATTAAAAATTCAGAAATTAGCCAAAGTTTCTAGGATTTTAATATAAAAAATTAAGTATTTTAAATCTAAGTAGGAATAATTTATTATTCAATAACATATGTAAATCCTAGATACACTGATAACTTAAATACAGTAACAAAAACAGCATGGTACTGGTACCAAAACAGATGTATAAACCAATGGAACAGAACAGAGGCCTCCCAAATAACACCACACACCTACAACCATCTAATCTTTGACAAACCTGACAAAAACAAGCAATGGGGAAAGGATTCCCTATTTAATAAATGGTGCTGGGAAAACTGGCTAGCCATATGTAGAAAGCTGAAACTGGACTCCTTCCTTACACCTTATACAAAAATTAACTCGAGATGGATTAAAGACTTAAATCTAAGACCTAAAACCATAAAAACTCTAGAAGAAAACCTAAGCAATACTATTCAGGACATAGGCATGGGCAAAGACTTCATGACTAAAACACCAAAAGCAATGGCAACAAAAGCCAAAATAGACAAATGGGATCTAATTAAACTAAAGAGCTTCTGAACAGCAAAATAAACTATCATCCGAGCAAACAGGCAACTTACAGAATGGGAGAAAATTCTTGCAATCGATCCATCTGACAAAGGGCTAATATCCAGAATCGACAAGAAACTTAAACAAACTTACAAGAAAAAAAATAAACAACCCCATCAAAAAGTGGGCAAAGGATATGAACAGATAGTTCTCAAAGGAAGACATTTAGACGGGCATGGTGGTGCATGCCTGTAATCCCAGCACTTTGGGAGGCTGAGGCAGGCGGATCACGAGGTCAAAAGATCAACACCATCCTACCCAACATGATGAAACCCCATCTCTACTAAAAACACAAAAATTAGCTGTGTGTGGTGGCAGGCACCTGTAGTCTAAGCTACTCAGGCAGCTGAGGTAGGAGAATCGTTTGAACCCAGGAGGCAGAGGTTGCAGTGAGCCAAGATCGCACCACTGCACTCCAGCCTGGCGACAGAGTGAGACTCCGTCTCAAAAAAAAAAAAAAAAAAACAAACAAACAAGAAGAAGACATTCACATGGCCAACAAACATGAAAAACGCTAATTATCACCGATTATTAGAGAAATGCAAATCAAAACCACCATGAGATACCATCTCATACCAGTTAGAATGGCGATCATTAAAAAGTCAGGAAACAACAGATGCTGGAGAGGATGTGGAGAAATAGGAAGGCTTTTACACTGTTGGTGGGAGTGTAAATTAGTTCAACCATTGTGGAAGACAGTATGGCCATTCCTCAAGTATCTAGAACCAGAAATACCATTTGACCCAGCAATCCCATTACTGGGTATATACCCAAAGGATTATAAATTATTCTGCTATAAAGACACATGCACATGTGTGTTTATTGCAGCACTATTCACAATAGCTAAGACCTGGAATCAATGCAAATGTCCAACAATGATAGACTGGATAAAGAAAATGTGGCACATATACACCATGGAATACTATGCAGCCATAAAAAGGGTGAGTTCATGTCCTTTGCAGGGACATGGATGAAGCTGAAAGCCATCATTCTCACCAAACTAACACAGGAACAGAAAACCAAATACCGCATGTTTTCACTCATAAGTGGGAGTTGAACAATGAGATCACATGGACACAGGGAGGGGAACATCACACACGGGGACCTCTCAGGGGGTTGGGGGCAAGGGGGAGATAGAATTAGGAGAAACACCTAATGTAGATGACGGGTTGATGGGTGCAGCAAACCACCATGGCACGTGTATTCCTATGTAACAAACCTGCACGTTCTGCACATCTATCCCAGAACTTAAAGTATTAAAAAAACCTGGAAAATGTGTTGTAATCACTATGATCAAAAACCTCTGACCACTGTCCTCTGACTACATCAGGAATCCTTGGGAAGGCATCAGCGGAGCTCCACAATACAGTCCCCGCTTATCTCCTTGGCACCTTCTTTTGTTACTTAGTTAAGACAACCTCTCTCTTCGGATGACCTAATTTGTTTGTAATCTCCCACCACAGCGTGTGTGTTGTGATCCCCCTTTTGATAATGCCACTGCCTCACCTTTAAAAGCCCTCCCTCACTCTATGGAGCCACGCCCCCAGCTACTTTTCTGTATAATTGCCTCTTCTCTAAGCGGATACATCTTAAATTTACTATATCCAGATTCCTTTATGCACTTTAAACACCTTAGAAAGCACAGATAGCAAAAACAGAGTATTATAATTTCTCCGAAATTGATCCCTACGTAAAAACTAAAGCCAATTGTAAAATGCATTGCTGTGGACGTGAATTTGTTTCTCCATATTCCTTTTTAAAATCCTCCTACTGCTCCCAAGTTTGTCTTCCTAGATCAAAAGAAAATGCAGGATTGCCTCAGACCAACAGATATTCCAGAACCTGCCCAATCTACTCTTGGTCAGCATACAAAAATACACGTGCCCTCCAAGGAAATGCTGAGCTGGTGATCACTGATTAGGCTGAGATTCTTTCTGTAACAAAGGTTTACATGCTACATCATGGTGACTGCTACAACTCTATCTTCCCTAGAGAGCTGGCTTTTTGCCCAGAAATGAGGGATGCTTTTAACATTAGTAGGACAGAAGTACCTAACTTACTGTCATGTTATGTTGACATATTGATCTGTTCTATTGATTTAATTATAAACCTGTGTTTTTCTTATCAATAGTCACTCACTATAATTAGTAAGATTATCTAGGACAGAGCTGCCCAGTGGAAACAATGTAAGCAAAGTATGTCATTAAAATTTTTCTAATAGCCACATTTTAAAAGGTTAAAAAAGTAAATTAACAATATATCTTATTTAACTCAGTATACCCAAACTATTAATTCAACATGTTTGAATACAAAAAATTAATGAGGTATTAATTTCATACTGTCCAAAATTTAGCATGTATTTTATACTTATTGTACATTTCAAATCAGATGCTAATTTTTTATTGGCAATACTTCATCGGTATTTAGATTTTATAATAATTACACTCCAAAGCATATATTTACTTATCCAAGTTGTTCCAAGCACACTTTGTTTTCCAATAGCTGAACTGAGAATCAATTTTTTAACTTAGGTTAAATTAAATAAAATTAAATTTCCCTTTCAGTCTCAGTAGCCACATTTCAATTTGTTAAGTATTGGACAGCACAGCCACACATCTTGTTCCCTGAATGAGAATAAATGAGGTAGTCTGCACACCTAGCTCTTTTTTCTGGAGATATGTAGCTAATTTATTTTCTTGGAACACACTGCTGAGCCATCCTTTTAAGGTACACGTGCAGGTTTGTTACATGGGTATATTGTGTGATGCTGATGTTTGGGCTTCTATTGAACCCATCACCCAAATAGAGAACATAGCATTCAATAGGTAGGGTTTTTTTGTTTGTTTGTTTGTTTGTTTTGTTTTTTTGAAATGGAGTCTCGCTCTGTCACTCAGGCTGGAGTGCAGTGGCGCGATCTCGGCTCACTGCAAGCTCCGCCTCCCGGGTTCACACCATTCTCCTGCCTCAGCCTCCTGAGTAGCTGGGACTACAGGCGCCCACCACCACGCCCGGCTAATTTTGTTTTTGTATTTTTAGTAGAGACGGGGTTTCACCGTGTTAGCCAGGATGGTCTCGATCTCCTGACCTTGTGATCCACCCGCCTCGGCCTCCCAAAGAATAGGTAGTTTTTTAACACTTCTCCCCTTCCCGCCTCCCCCCTTCTAGTAGTCCTCAGTGTCTATTGTTACCATCTCTATGACCCTGTGTACCCAACGTTTAGTTCCCACTTGTCAGCGAGAACATGAGACATTTGGTTTTCTGTTTCCGGGTCAGCTCACTAAGAATAAAATCCTCCATCTCCATCCATGTTGCTGTAAAGGACATGATTTCATTCAGGTTTTTTTTTTTTACAGCTGTATAGTACCACATTTTCTTTATCTAGTCCACGGGTGATGGACACCTGGGTTCATGCCATGTCTTGGCTGTTGTGAATAGTTGAGCCCTCCTTTTACAGTTATTTTTGTTTTTGTATGAACACGAGCACAAGTTACCTGCAACGCTTCCTTTCTACCTGGTGTTCACATAAGATCTCGGGAGCTGATCAGTTGTTCCTGTTGTTAATACTTTTCCTTATTTCCACAGGACTTTTGTTTTTTAAATTTTAATTGATATGGGTACGTAGTAGGGGTGTGTGTGTGTGTGTATGTGTGTATATATACACACACATATATATGGAGTACATGAGACGTTTTGCTACAGGAATGTAATGCGTAATAATCACAGCATGTAAGTAAAATGGGGCATCTATCCCTTCAAGTATTTATCCTTGGTGTTACATACAATCCGATTGCAGTCTTTTAGTCATTTTTAAATGTGCAATTAAATTATTATTGACTCTAGTCTCCCTGTTGTGCTGTCAAGTTCTAGGTCTGATTCATTCTTTTAACTATTTTTTGTACCCATTAACTTGGCTTTTGCGTTTCCTTGTTTTGCTTTATCTTTCCAGCTCATATAGGTGGTGATATACATATTATATTTCTAAAAAACATCTACTTAACAGAAGTAACAAAGTACCTGCACATGTGTGTATACTGTATCTATATATATGTGAGGAAAAACACATTCTTGCTTATTAAAATCAATTTGAAAAGTTAAACATGTCATTTGAAATCCACCCTTCCTTTGGATTACACTACACTTCTGATGCTTTCTATAAACCTGAGTATCTTTATGAACTCAGTATCATTATGAACTCAGGGTCTTGTCCCAGTTAACCTGAGTTATCTTTATTATCGTTACTCTCAATCATCACAACGTGGCCAGTGGAAATTCCCTTAAGGTGGCTCATTGCTTTTTGAGGACTGTCACTGATTCTCTTACAAACTTCACTGGATATACCTTGCTGTCCAAAT
This sequence comes from Homo sapiens, assembly GCF_000001405.40. Taxonomy (NCBI): domain Eukaryota; kingdom Metazoa; phylum Chordata; class Mammalia; order Primates; family Hominidae; genus Homo; species Homo sapiens. The sequence continues at coordinate 180,706,987 of NC_000005.10, forward strand.
ATTTTCTTTCAGCCTCAAAAAACTGGAATTAACTACTCTCCAAAGACTTTGAGTTTACTTTAGTAGAGAATAGTATTAAGAACAAAATATGGGGCCGGGCGTGGTGGTTCACACCTGTAATCCCAGCACTCTGGGAGGCCGAGGCGGGTGGATCACGAGGTCAGGAGATCGAGACCATCCTGGCTAACATGGTGAAACCCCGTCTCTACTAAAAAAATACAAAAAATTAGCCAGGCGCGGTGGTGGGTGCCTGTAGTCCCAGCTACTCGGGAGGCTGAGGCAGGAGAATGGCGTGAACCCGGGAGGCAGAGCTTACAGTGAGCCGAGATCGGGCCACTGCACTCCAGCCTGGGCGACAGAGCAAGACCCCAACTCAAAAAAAAAAAAACAAAATATGGGGCCGGGCGCAATGGTTCAGGGCTGTAATCCCACCACTTTGGGAGGCCAAGATGGGCAGATTACTTGAGGTCGGGAGCTTGAGACCAGCCTGGCCAACATAGTGAAATCCCATCTCTACTATAAAATTCAAAAGTTAGCCGGGCCTGGTGGCAGGCGCCTGTAATCCCAGCTACTCGGGAGGCTGAGGAAGGAGAATCACTTGAACCCAGGAGGCGGAGGTTGTTGTGAGTGGAGATCATGCCACTGCACTCCAGCCTGGGCGGAAGAGGGAGACTCCTACAGAAAAAAATAAAAAATAAAGAAACAAAATAGGGGCACTAGGCTTGAATAATAACATGATTGTGAATAAAAATGCTATAACCGATTGATTATGTAAAGCCTTTCATTTTTCTACGACAGACTGGAAGTGATGTTGCTGTGCTTTTCTTTTCTTATAGCAGTTCCATTGGTCATCAGAACTTCATCCTACACTTAAACGTCCTTTATATGCTGTGTGTGAGCATACGAAGTCTCTCTCATGCTCACACACAGCATCATCAGTACCCCAAAGGGGACCAGAACCCAATGCAGAACTTACAGCAAAGAAATAGAAGGTTTTGATCCTACCTGGTGACTGGGAGTTCCTGCTCCAGGCAAAAGAGTTGAGCTCAGGTTGGCAAACTGCTTTTATTTTACCCAAGGACATAGAGAAAGCAACAGGATAATGTTGGCTGCACAAGACTCTGCCTTATTTTGACATCCCCTGGGCTTCAGCCTCCTGTGGTTAATTACTATCAGAAATGGATGAGCCCTGGGGATGAGGGAGATGTAAAAAAAAGACGATGGGGGCCTCCAGAGAATTTCTACAGAGACTTAGAACTAATTCTATCTATTTCATCATTGCTTTGTTTATCTGCTTATCATCACTGCATTAAAAAACCTGATGCTTTTGGGGATTCTTGGCAAAAACGAAAGAAATAAGATATCCAGAGTAAGGTTGACAAGTAGCTGCATATAATTCCAAATTATCATTAAATCAGCCTTTATAAGCTGTTTGTTTAACATTAACATAAATATGTTGAATACATATTTTTCCTTAGAATTTTAAAAATCAATAACTTTTTTTATTACCTAAATTATTTTTAAGTACTTTATTGTAGCCACATATGCATTTGCTTCTGAGGAGAATGAATGGCACATAATACCTTAATAGTAAGAAAAGACCACTTAACTTAGGTGATGATCACATCATCTGTGACAGAGTATTTAGGAAAAGTCACCAGCAGACTAAAAACATCTGCTGTACAACATTGTACCTATAGTTAGTAATACCGTATTGTACACTTAAAAATTTTCTAGGAGGATAATTCTCATGTTAAGTGTTCTTACCACAATAAAAAGAAAAATATATCATTTTAACCGATTTACCAGTTGCTGTGTAACAGAAAGAATATAAACTTTGGAATCAGGAGGACTTATATTTATAATCTTTACTTTTCCACTATCTCATTTTTGCTCCCCACTTACAACAACCCACATCCTCTCCCATGATTTCACCACCATTTTAATGACAGCATAACTTTCCAGCTACATGGGCCCTTCATATACACAAGGCCATTAAATCCATCCCAACTCTGCCTCAGAAAACTGCATGTCTGGATGCTTCAGAGTATTATCATAATTCTAAATAGCTGATTTAGAAAAATCCCACAAATAAGGGATTAAAAAACAACTAATTACCCTTTTAATATCATTCTAAAGCAGTGTCTGACAAGCCCACCTAGGATCTTCTAATAATATAGGACAGGGATCAGCAAACTTTTGCTGCTTTTGTAGCCAAATAGTAAATATTTAGGCTTTGTGAGCCACGTAGTTCTTCGGCCCCTACGCCACGCCACCATTATAGAATGAAATCGCCATGGGCATACATAAATGAGCATAACTGAGTTACAAGTTCCAACCAAAGTTTATTAAATCAAATGTATGTTTTCAGCCATTGTATTTTAAGACATTCTTCTGATTCTTTGTCTCTCTGTTTTCATTCTGGGACACTCATCATGCATATGAAGGGGCATTTGATGCCACAGGTCTCAGGCTTTGTCCATTTCTCCTTATCCTTTTTATTGCTGGTTCTTAAGACAGATAATCTCAATTGATTTTTTTTGATAGTGAAAATATACTTTATTTTTTAATACAATAGCTGCCAGCAATATACTGGTGTTGATGTTCCAAAAAGAAAAGAAAATACATGCATTCTATAATAAGCTTTCATTTGCCTGTTCAAGAAATTATAAAGAAAATACTCCAATTCTGTTCAACATTATGGCTTGAGGAGTTGAAATTTTTCCATGATAAAAATATACTTTGTATGGCCCAAACCTTGACTATTTATAAAGGATGGAGCTTTTAAAAGACCACGTATATCAATAATGAATGCTCCCCTCTCTTTGAATTAAATGCTTAAATTCAAATTAATGCAAGAAATTGGTGAATCATTAAATGATGAAATTTGTATCAAAATGTTCGTGAAAAAATACATTTCTATTTCCTCTACATTTTTACTTTGTAGTTATTTTCTAAATGGGTTTAAGTGCACAGAAATAAATGCTATCTACATGCAACTCTGGAGAGATTCAAAACACAACAGAAGTAAAGTTAACATGCCTAAATCCTAGAGTTGATCCACTTAGTGTAAGAATAAATGTCAGAAATCTCTTAATTGTATACAGATTGCTCAAGGATTTAAAGATAAATTGTGAAAGCCAAAATTACCAAGAAATAAAATCTTATTTGAATTTTATCACAAAAGTCCTAGTAAAAGACAACAGAACTGTATAGAATATCTGCATTTACATCAAAAAAGGGAAGTTTGAGGAGGGCCTCTGCCCGGGATCTCAATTGATTTAATTCAAATTTGCTCATTGTTTTTTCTGCTTGTTCAAGTAGGCTCTTGAATCCCCTTGCTGCATTTTTCAGAGAGAAAGGAAAAAGGATGAGGAAAAATGAGGAAGGTCTGAAACCTGTGTAACCCCAAGAAGTATACCAAGATACACAAAATGGGAGTCCCAGGGGGTGAGGTGGGAGAGAAAGGGACAGAAAGAACATTTGGGGAAATATTGGCTGAAAACTTCCCAAATCTGATGGAAAACATTAACCTACACATCAAAGAAGCTCAGCAAAATCCACTAAGATATATACTAAACTAAAATATATACATGCCAAGATGCCTTATAATCAGACTTCGGAAAGACAAAGAGAGAACCTTGAAAGCAGCAACCTAGAAGTGACTCCTTATGAACAAGAATCTTCAATAAGATTTACAGTCAAATTCTCATCAGAAAATGTGGAGGCCAGAGAGCAGTGGGATGACATTAGAATACTGAGAGAAAAAAAAAAAACTGATGCCAATCAAAAACTCTACGTGGCTAAACAATCCTTCAAAGTGAAGGAGAAATTAAGCATATGCAAATACATAAAAACTCAAGGAAATCTTTGCTAATACATTGGCTGTACAAGAAATTCTAAAGAAATCCTTCAGGCTGAAATAAAAGGACACTAGGCAGTAATCTGAAGCCATACAAAGAATAAAATACACTGGTAAAGGTAACTGCACAGGTAAATATAAAGGTCAGTTGTTGTATTTTTGGTTTGCAACCTTTCTTTTCTTTCCCATCTTACATAAAAGGCAAATAAACAAAAGATTAATATAAATCTATGATAATGGGAACACAATATGTAAAGATATAATTTGCAATAACAAAATAGGAAGGCACAGAAAACATATATAGCAGTAGGATTCTTGAATAATTTTGATGCCAAGATAGTATTAACTCAAATTTGATAATTATAAAGTTTAACATGTTAATTGTAATGCCCAATATAACTGCTAAGAAAATTACTAAAACTATGAAGAATAATAATGAGAATGGAATTAAATGGTACATTACAAAAAAATTAAACATGAAAAAAGACAATGTTGGAGGAATTGAGGAAGAAAAAATATATAAGACAGAAAAGAAATAGAATAATGATGTAAGTAAGTCTTTTCTAATCCATATTTGCTTTAAATGTAAATATATTAAATTCTCCAATTAGCTGGGCATGGTGGTGCATGCACATAATCCCACCTACTCAGGAGGCTGAGGTGAGAGAATTACTTGAGTGTAAATGTTTGAGTCCAGCCTGAGCAACATAGTAAGATCCTGTCTCAAAAGAAATCCTCTCCAATTAAAAGGCAGAAACTGGCAAAAATAAATTTTAAAAGAAACATGATTCATCTATATGCTATGTATGAGAAACTCCCTTTAGATCCAAAGGCACAAATAGGTTTAAAATGAAACTGTAGATAGATATTCTATGTGAATATTAGCCAAAAGAGAGCTGGAGAAGCAATACTAATATAAGATAAAATAGACTTTAAGCCAAAATTATTACAAGAGACAAAGAAGGAAAATAGCTTAAGGTTATTTTTAACTTCCCTTGTGTTTTCTTCTTTGTCCCATTGGTAGTTTAAAATTGTGTTTCATTTCCGCATATTTATGATTTTTTCCCATATTCCTTCTGTTATTGATACCTAGTTTTATTCCATCATAATCAAAAAATTCTTTGTGTGATTTGAATATTTGTAAGTTTATTAAGACTTTTTGTGTCATAATAAATGGTCTATCCTGAGGAATATTCCACGGTACTCGAGAAGAATTCCTGTTCTGCAGTTGTTTGGTTGTGGTGTACATTTACGTTGTAGTTTGTAAATCTTTCTTCTTTCTTAATTCATGTTCACAGCTGTAAATTTCCCTGCAAGCACTGCTTTGCTGCATCTCATAAGTGTGGGTGTGTATGTACATCTCAAGGAACTAGAAAAGAAAGAACAAACTAAACCCAAAATTAACAGAGGAAAGGAAATAATAAAGATTAAAATGGAAATGAGTGAAATAGAGATTAGAAAAATAGAATCAACAAAACCAAAAGTTGTTTTTTTGAAGATTAACAAAATTGGCAAATTTTAGCTAGACTAAAAGCAAAAAACAGAAGACTCAAGTTACTAAATCAGAAATTAAAGTAGTACATTACTACCAATTTTACAGAAATAAAAAAGATTATGGGAGCATACTGTGAACAATTGTTTGCCATCAAGTTGAATAACCCAAATGCAATGGACAAATTCCTAGAAAGACACAAGTTACTAAAATTGACTCAAGAAGAAATAAAAAACCTGAATAGACCTATATAAAGTATAAACAAAAGTAAAATTCTAAGCCCCCTAACTGACTGAATGGACCCCTTCTCTCAGCCAAGGGGATTCCAAAGAAACCTGAAAAACTAGTTCAGGCCATGATGGGAAGTGGAGATCAGACATGCCTTGTCATACTCTCCTCCCTTTGGAGTTCAGGCAAAACTGACAGCATCAACATTAAAATGGAGACATCAAGACTGACACAAGACTCTTTGTAGCAACAAGACACCAAATTCCAACCTGACTCTAGTATAGCGTCATATGACAGATAGCAGGCTCTAAAAGAAATAAAAATATTTTACCCCAAAATATATTTCTTTGACATATTTTGAAATATCCCTGCACAGCAGTCTCTTGTGGTGGAAATTTACATTCTGTAGATAATTCCGTTCCCTTTCCAGGTCTTTTTCTGATCCTGAAGAGATTAGTTGAGAGTTTAGCACCTTTTAAGGTCTGAATAAGAAACATTTGCCATCTATTGCCTCTAATGGCAGCCACCTATGAGACTTCATCTACGCAATGAGAACCGTAGTTTCCATAACCCTTTTTCTTAACCCAGACATTCCTTTCTATTGATTCCAGTTCTTTATATAAGAACTTAACTCTTTTTTTTTTTTTTTACTTTTAAGGTCAAGGGTACATGTGCAAGTTTGTTACATAGGTAAACTTGTATCATGGGTATTTGTTGCACATATTATTTCATCATCCAGACATTAAGCCTAGTACCCATTAGTTATTTTTCCTGATCCTCTTCCTCCTCCCACCCTACACCCTCTGATGGGTCCCAGTGTGTGTTGTTTCCCCTGTGTGTCCATGTGTTCTCACCATTTAGCTCACACTTATAAGTGAGAACATGTGATATTTGGTTTTCTGTTTCTGCATTAGTTTGCTAAGGATAAGATCTTCCAGCTCCATTCATGTCCCTGCAAAATACCTGATCTCATTCTTTTTTATGGCTACATAGTATTCCATCGTGTATATGTATCACATTTTCTTTATCCAATTAACTTAAATTTTTCAACCGATTGCCAATCAAAAAATCTTTGAATCCACCTATGACCTGTAAGTCCCCACTTCGAGTTGTCCTGACTTTCTGGACCAAACCAATGTATACCTTATATGTATTTATTGATGTCTTATGTCTCCCTAAAATGTATAAAACCAAGCTATAACCCAACCATCTTGGGCACATGTTTCCAGGACCTCCTGAGGCTGTGTAACAGGTCATAGTCCTCACGTCTGGCTCAGAATAAACCTTTTCAAATGTCTTCCAGAAGTTGCCTTTTTTGTCAACAGAAGTAAAGAGTAGCCAAAAATCTCCCAAAAAAGAAAAGTCCTTGAACAGATGGCTTCACTGGTGAATTCTACAAGACATTTGAAGATAAATGAACACTTAGCCTTTTCTAATTTTTCCCAAAAAATTGAAGAGGAAGGGATACTTTCTAACTCATTATTTGAAGCCAACATTACTTTGATACCAAAGCCAGACTAAGAAATCACACAGAAAAAAGAGACAGAGACAGACAGAGAGAAAGAGAGAGAGAAAGAATGAAAGCTGCAGACCAATATTCCTTATGAAAATAAATAAGAAAATCCTCACAAAATACTAGCAACCCAATTTCAGAAGCAGATTAAGGGGATTATATATCATGATCAAGTGTCAATTATCCCAGGAATGCAAAATTAACCTGACATATGAAAATCAATAAATGGAACACATCATGTGTATTAGTTTCCTAGGGCTGTCATAACAAATCTTCACAAGTTGAATGGCTTAAAACAACATAAATTTATTCCATCCAATGCTGAAGGCCGTAAATTTAAAATCAAGGTGTGAGTAGGGTTGGTTCCTTTTGGAAGCTTTGTGGGAGAATCTGTTCCATACCTCTCTCCTAGTTTCTGGTGCCTTCCAGGAATCCTTGGCTTGTAGTTGCATCACTCCAGTCTCTGCCTCCATCTTTGCAAAGGTCTTCGTCTCTATTTTTTTCGTGTCTCTCCTTTTCTTTCTCCTACAGGAACACTTGTCATGGGATTTAGTGCCCATTCTAACCCAGGATAATTTCTTCTTGGGATTCTTACTTGAATACATCTGCAAAAAGTCTTATTCCAAATAAGGGTCTTGTATTTCTAGGTTCTTGGTAGTTATATGTTTTTATGGGGACTGCTATTCAACCCACTGGACCACATTAATAGAATTAAGTGGGGAATACCCAGATAATCATCTCAACTGATAGAGAAAAAGCATTTGACAAAAATCCGATGTCCTTTCCCTATCAATACTCAACAAAGTAGGAATAGAAGGGAACTTCCCAAACATGATAAAGATCATTCATTTAAAAAAATCATAGTTATCGTACTCAATGATGAAAGGCTGAAAGCTTTCCCTTTAAGATCAGGAACAAGATAAGGATGCCCTCTTTTATGACTTCTATTCAACATCTTAATAGAAGTTCTAGCCAGAGCAACTAACCAGGAAAAAGAAATAAAGGTATCCATAATGAAAAGATAGAAGTAAAATCCTTATTCACAGATGACATGATCTTATATACAAAAAATCCTGAAGACGCCGCAAAAAGACTAGTAGAGCTAATAAGAGAATTCAGAAAAGTTGCAGGATATAAGACCAACAAGCAAAAATCAGCTTTATTTTAATACGTTAGCAATGAACAATCCAAAAATTAAATTTAAAAAAGTTTTATTTACCATAGCATCAAAAAGAATAAAATATTAGGAATAATTGACCAAGGAAGTGAAAAACTTGCATGTTGAAAACTATAAAACATCACAGAAAGAAATTAAAGAAGACCAAATAAATAGAAAGATACCCATGGTCATGAACTGAAGAGTTGATATTATGCAGATTGCAAAAGGACTCAAAGTGATCTGCAGATTCTAAGCAATCCCTATCAAAATTCCAAATTTTTGCAGAAATAGAATTCATATGGAGGTTCAAGCAACTCTGAATAACCAAAAACATAGTGAAAAAGAATAAGTAGGAAGATTTATACTTCCTGATCTCGAAACTTATCACAAAGCTACAGTAATCAAAACGTGATAACAGACATATAGAACAAAATTAAGAATCCAGATGTCAACTTGTACATCTATGGTCAATTGATTTTTGACAATGATAGCCAAGGCTGTTCAGTGGGGAAAGAACAGAAGAGCCATCTCTTCAACAAATAGGGTTACGACAACTGGATAACCACATGCAAAAGAATAAAGTTGGATCCTTACCTCATTCCATATACAAAGTTAACTCAAAGTGGACAAATGTAAGAGCTAAAACTATACAACTCTTAGAAGAAAACATGAGGGTAAATCTTCATCACTTTGGATTTGACAATAGATTACAGGATGTAACACCAAAAGCACCAGCAACAAAAGAAAAATAGATAAATTTGACTTCATATAAATTAAAAAAAAATGTACATCAAATGACACTATAAAGACAGTGAAAAGACAATCCAAAGAATGGGAGAAAATATTTACCTGTCGTCTGTCTGGCAAAGATCTGGTATTCAGAATCTGTAAGGAACCCTTACAGTTCAAAATAAAAGACAAACAACCCAACTTAAAAATGGGCAAAAGACTTTGTATCAGTTTCCCAGCTTCTGTAACAAATTCCTCAAGTTGGTGGTCATTTATTCTCTCACACTTCTCAAAATAAGAAGCCTGAAACGGACGTGTCAGTAAGGCCACACTCCCTCTGAAAGCTCTAGGGGAGAACCCTTCCTTCCCTCTGTCAGCTCCTGGTGACTCCTGGTGTTGCTTGACTTCTGACAGCATAACTCTAATTTCTGCTTCCATCTTCATATGATCTTCTTCACTGTGTCTCTGTTTTATCTTTTTCTATCTCCTACAAAGAGAATGGTCCTTGTATTTAGAGCCCAACCTATATGCAGGATGACCTCATCTTAACTTAATTATATCTTCAAAGACTATTTCCAAATGAGCTAAATTTCACAGATGATAAGGGTTAAAACTTGGACATATCTTTTTGGGGCCACTTCACAACCCTCTACAGACTTGAGCAGATATTTCTCCAAAGAAGATGTACAAATGGCCATAAAACACACAAAAATGCTTAATGTCATTAATCATTAGGGAAATGTGAATCAAAATCGCAATGCTGTATCTCTTCACACCCATTAGGTTGGGCATAATCAAAACAACATAAAATATGAAAGGATAGCAATGATGGAGATACTGGACCCCTCATCTATTGCTGGTGGGAATGAAAGATTGTGCCACTACTGTGGAAAACAGTTTGGTGGTCCCTCAAAAAGTTAAACATAGAATTGCCTGTCAGAAGATGGAGCAGTTTTATTTCTAGGTATAAATCCAAAATAATTGAAAACAGGTATTCAAACAAACATTGCATGTAAATGTACATAGAAGCACTATTCACAATAGACAAAAGGTGAAATCAACCCAAATTTCCATCAACTAATTAATCAATAAACAAAATGTGATACAGCCATACAGTGGAATATTATTCAGCCATACCAAATGAGACATTGATCCATGCTAAAACGTAGATGAGTCTTGAAAACATTATACTAAATGATACAAAAGGTCACGTATTGTATGATTCCACGTATGTGAAGTGAATTCAGATAGCTAAGTCTATAGTGACGAAGTTGTAGTTTGCTGGTGCCAGGGCTGGGAGCAAGGGAGAATGAAGAGTTACTTTTTAATTTTGAAAAACTCCCCCATGATAGCAACTAAAACTATCAACAAAAATCCGAGGAATGAATCTAATAAAATATTTTATGAAGAAAAATATGAAACAAAATTCAAGTAATAAAGACCTAAATGCATAGAGAAATATACTGTGTCTGTCTCATAGACATCAAATCTTCCCAAATTTATTATGACTTTAATGTAATTCCAATAAAAATTAAATGAGGTTTCCCGTGAAACTTTAATAAGCCACATTAAAAAGGAAATGAACAGTAGGACAGTTTTCAAGAAAAATTAGACAAGGAGAGTTGTGCTACCAGAAATAAAGACTTACTGAGTGCCATAATAATTAAGACAGTGGCGAATTTGCAATGGGATAAAAGAGAACACCAAAAGAAACATAATGTATGCCTCCAGAAAATGTGATAAATTACAAAAGCGACCTTACATGTAAGTGGGGTCTTGTTTATCTGATATACGTCTTTTAGCTCTTCCCTCTTTCCTCTTTTCTACCAGGGAGGTAGATCTGAAGGTTGGACTGCCAGCAGCTCTTTTGTACCACAAGGAGATGAAGACGGGAGCGATGTGCTATTTGTGGCACTGCATAAATATGACACCTTTTCAGCCACAGACAACCTCGAGATTTATTTTATGTGATGGGAAAATAAAGTTCAAAGCTCTTCGTTGTTTAAGCCACTGTGTGAAGGTTTTTACAAGTGATTAAGTATATTCCTAAGTAACATTTACTATTTATTTTCTTCTTCTCCTACCATGGATGAGAACAAGGAATGCACAAAACAGAGATGGGGCAGGGAGATTATACCATCTACTTAACAATCTTTTGACATAATAGTGATGAGTATAGCATCACCTTGACTATTGAATTATAAACTAAAAGACCTAACCACAGTCATTCTCAGAACCGAACTGAATCAGCATTAACAGAAAGGGGGAAATGAGAAGTGTGAGGGATTTGTCAGAAGAAAAAATAAAGAGCCCTTTCATTACTTGTAACTTATATCTTAGCCTGGAGGATATTGGTGAAAATACCCTTTTCCATCCTTTTTTAGAATTCATTTATTTATTTATTTTTGAAATGGAGTCTTGCTCCATCTCCCAGGCTGGAGTGCAGTGGCACAATTTCGGCTCCCTGCAACCTCCGTCTCCCAGACTCTAATCATTCTCCTGCTTCAGCTTCCCGAGTAGCTGCGATTACAGGTGTGCACCACCACACTAGGCTAATTTTGTTTCACCATGTTGGTCAGGCTGGTCTCGAACTCCTGACCTCAAGTGATCCGCCCACCTCGGCCTCCCGAAGTGCTGGGATTACAGACCTTTTCCTTCTTGTGTGCAGAAAATAACATTTTAAAATCAAATCTGAGAGGAAAAGAGCTACATGTTTTATAATAAAATGTTCACTTTGAGGTGCAGATATTAAACAATGTTTCCAGAACTTTGGGATTTATCCTCTATTTATTATACTCAAGCCCAGATATATTTGAAAAGGGCCTTCCTTTCATATTTTTAAAAAAGAAAAAAAAAGCCTTACTGTTTCAAAAAGCAGGTTGCATTCACGCTTTGTTTGCACATCAAGTGATTTTTTAGTCTAGAAACAGCTCCACCTGCTGGAACTTTGTGTTTTGCTGGAAGTTTTTGTTTTGTTTTGCTCTGAAAGTTTGAGACAGGCAGGCAGGCAGGCAGGTTTTTGCAGAGATTTCTTGCTATATACTGAGTCGTAAAAGTTTTGAGTTATTGTCATGATACCAGACACATTGCTTTACCATAATAGTTGTTATGGGCTGAATCGTGCTCATTTCCCCAACCCCAATTTGTATTGTGGAGTCCTAACTCCCAGTAGTCTCAGAATGTGACTGTTCAGAGACTGGTCCTTAAAAGAGGTAATCAAAGTAAAATGAGGTCCTATGGGTGGTCCCCAATCCAATATGACTGCTGTCCTTACGGAGGAGGTGAGGACACAGACACACACAGAGGGACAACCACGTAAGGACACAGGGAGGAGGCAATTCTGTAAGCCAAGGAGAAAGGCCTCAGGAGAACCAGCCCTGCCCACACCTTGGTCTTGGAGCTCCAGCTCCAGATGGTGAGAAAACAATTACTGTTGTTTAAACTACCCAGTCTGTGGTATTTGGTTAAGGTCGTCCTACCAAATGAATACAATCGTCTTTTAGTAAGTATTTGTCCACACCACCACTTTATCAAAATGTATGAGAAAATGTTTAAATCATTGGCCCGGCCATGAAACGGGAAGAAACACTTTTCCTCATGTCTCTTGTGATGACGGTAAAAATTTCATGGCCATCTGGCCGTTGTTTTCACCTGAATGTTTTCATTTGAAATGGCATTCCACTCTCAGATTTGAGTACATTGGAAACACTGACATAAAGCAACCAAGGATAGCTGAAGTTTCATCTTCTGCCACTCAGCAAAGAAGGTACAGTTGATTACTAACAGCTAGACTTATTTCTATTTTCAGTTTCTCTGGATGCTGTGCCTTTTCACCCTCAAATTCTAAAAGAACTTGTGATATATAAACTATTTTTCACATTTTATATTATTATTTTACTAAAGAGAAAACGAGCATAGAGAGATTGAGTAACTTGCCAATAATTAAATATTATATTATAAATTATTATATTAATAACGAATAATTATTATAACAATTAATTATAATATTAATAATTAATATAATTAATAATCAATATAATATAATTATTAATATGGTTAATAATTAATATAATTATTAATGTAATTAATTATTATTATTAGAAAGTAGCAGATGTAGTCTTTAAGTTCAGGAGGTCTGACTCCAGAATCTAAGTCTTTAACCTATCTCTGGATGACTTTTAAGATAACAAACTGTAAAAACATCATTAATCTAAACAGAGAGTAGAATGATGGTTTCCAGGGGCTGCTGGGTGGAAGAAAATAGGGGGATGCTGGTCAAGGGCTACAAACTTTTGATTAAAGATAAATAAGGAGATCTAATGTACAGCATGGTGACTATAGTTTATTAATAATAATGCATTGTATACTCGAAATTTGCTAAGAGAGTAGATCTTAAGTGTTATCACTGAAAAGAAAATAGAAAAAGTACATATGCGAGGTGTTGGGTAGGTTAATTAGCTTGATTGTTACACAACACATATGTACATCAAAACATCACATTATATACCTTAAATATATCTGATGTTTATTTGTCAATCATACTTCAATTAAAAATCATTGATCTAGAAGTTAAAAAAGCAAACAAATAGATGTCTGGCCTGTGACCCAGATTCTATTTGTTTTCTTAGAAAAGGAAAACAAACCCGCTCACCAACAAAGCCACAGAATCGTAAGAGCTCAGGCGCCCCCATAGGACTGTCTCAGCCAACATCAGACAGTGCATGTGTGGCAGGATCTCCTAGCTGCTCCCCAAACCCACGGCCTTCTCTTCCTCCTGGGCTAACAGCCGGACCACGCTGCCCAGCCCCTCACAGCTAAGGGAATGTGACGTCCTCCATGCTTGGCCTAGGAACACCATCTGGGCACATGGAGGTAGGGCTTATATTTCTATCTTTAAATTAACGCCTACTTCGCACTGACTGTTTAGCAGTAGAATACTACCTGCTAAACAGTCAGTGCGAAGTAGGCGTTAATTTAAGGATAGAAGAGCTTTGTAAGTAAAAACCAGTTAATCTTCACAACCCTATGTGTGGTGATGTTATTTATCGCCATTATATGAATGAGAAAAAGGAGGATTAGAGAGTTTCTTGTGCAAATTAATTTGCCCAAAGTCACAAAACTACAAAGTAGAGGAGTCAAAGTTGGAACCTCAGCCTTTAAGGAGCACTCTGCCACCACAAGCCAGTACCATACTGTTTGACTTCCCAGCCTCCAGAACCATGAGCCATATATATTTATATTCTTTATAAATTACCCAGTCTGTGATATTCGATTATCACAGCAGAAAAAGAGCTAAGACACATAGGCAGAAGAACTGATCAAGTATTTTATAGAAGAGGAACTACTTTTTATAATCATGTTAAAGAATACCCAACCTCATTAACAAGCAGGGAAATATAAATTTAAATGGCATTGCGAGGCCAGCAATTCCAGCTTAGACACATTCCCTGGAGAAACTCCTTCCCATGTGCACAGGAACAAGTCCCACGAGTTCATGGCCACATCATTCGCACCAATGTTCATCAACAGCAGAATAGAAATAAATGGTGTTGGGAAACTGGCTATTCATATGCAGAAGAAGGAAATTGGACTCATCTCACTCCTTATGCAAGAATCAACTAAAATGGATGAAAAACTTAACAAAAGTCCCGACACTCTAAAACTACTAGAAGAAAACATTAGAGAAAAGCTCCATGACACTGGTCTGGACCATGATTTCTTGGATATGACCTGAAAAGCACAAGCAATGAAAAAGCAAAAATAGACAAATGGGATTGCAGGAAACTGGAAGGCTTCTGTACAGCAAAAGAAGCAGTTGATTGAAGGAAGGAACATACCACAGGTAGGAAGAAAATACTTGTAAATTATATATTGGATAAGGCACTAATATGCAAAATATGTAAAGAACTGAAACTAATCAATAATAAGAAAACAAATAACCCTCTTTAAAAGTGAGCAAAGGACCTGAATAGACATTTCTCAAAAGAAGACATATGAATGGTCAATAAGTGTACGAAAAAATGCTCACATCAGAAAAATGCAAATTATAAGCACAATGGTTATCACCTCACACCTCTCAAAATGGATAGTATCAAAAAGAGGAAAGACAAGTGCTGGTGAAGATGTGGAGAAAGGGAACCCTAGGGCACCGTTGGTGGGAATGGAAATTAGTACAGCCACGATGGAGACAAGTATAGAGGTTTCTCAAAAGACGAAAAATGGAACTGCCGTATGATCCAGTAATCCCACTATGTGTATACCCAAAGGAATTGAAATCAGTGTATCAAAGAGATATCTGACTCTCATGTTCATTGCAGCACTGTTCACAGCAGCCAAGATATGGAAGCAACCTAGGTGTTCATCAATGGATGAGTGAATTCAAAAAATTATGGCCTATATACACAATGGAACACTATTCAACCTTTCAAAAGAAGGAAATTCTGTCATTTGTAACAACATAAATAAATCTTGAGGACAATATATTAACTGAAAGAAGTCAGGCACTAAAGGATAAATACGGCCTGATCTGACATGCGGAGTCTAAAGATGTCAAACTCCTAGGAGTAGAGAGTGGAATGAAGGAGTAAGTTCTGGTGATCTATGGCACAGCATAGTATCTATAATTAATACTAATATATTGTATATTTCAAAATTGCTAACAGAGTGGATTTTAAATGTTCTTGCCACAAGAAAAGGATGTGAGTATGTGAATGAGCCTGATTGAATCATTCCACAATGTATAAATGCACCAAAACATCACATTGTATCCCACAAATACATACAATTATTTGTCAAATAAAATTAAACTTAAAATAAAAATAAAATACTTAATTGATACATAATAATTGTATATATTCAGGGTGTACCTCGTGCCGCTCATATGCCATTGCGGACGGAAGGGCACCCTGAGAAGCTGGGCAACACACCTTAATTGATACATAATAATTGTATATATTCAGGGTGTACCTCGTGCCGCTCATATGCCATTGTGGACAGAAGGGCACCCTGAGAAGCTGGGCAACACACCCAGCAAACCGCACGGACCTGTCGGCTCCCAGGGTTGAGCAGCATCTGAGGGCTGAGGCAGGTCACCCTGTGAGGTCAATAAAGGAGATGCAAGTGAGTAAGAGACACCAGTGTGTGGAGCAGGGGGTCCAGGACACAGCCTGTAGTGATAGTCCCTTAGCCACGAGTGTCAGAAGGTGGACTATCAACAAGAACACAAATATCCTCTCTCACTGTGGTTGCTGCAAGAAGCCACCAGGATGGAGCCTCTCCAAGATGTGAAATTGTCCCTTCCCATCATCACCTTCTGAGTGACCTGTGAGAAAAAGAAAACAATAAATCACTCGACTACTGCGCTCTGTCCCGGGTGTGAGCGTGCTGCATAGGACCTAGGACCAACTTTAAGGAAGATCCCTGCTCATCCCTTTGCCTAGCAAGAAACAGCTGGCCAGTTTAGGAGTCACTGAGATGGCCACAGAACTGCCTCATAGCACAATTCTCCCTTCATCCCTTCTTCTAAGAACCCTCATTCTTTATTTTTGGGGTTTCTATCCCAGGTGCCTAGACCTCCTCATTGCTTTATGGTTTTTTTTTGTTGTTGTTGTTTGTTTGTTTGTTTTAGACGGAGTTTCACTCTTGTTGCCCAGGCTGGAGTGCAATGGCGTGGTCTCGGCTCACTGCAACCTCCGCCTCCCAAGTTCAAGCAATTCTCCTGCCTCAGCCTCCTGAGTAGCTGGGATTACAGGCATGCGCCACCACGCCTAGCTAATTTTTGTATTTAGTAGAGACGGGATTTTACCATGTTGGCCAGGCTAGTCTTGAACTCCTGACCTCAGGTGATCCCCCCGCCTCGGCCTCCCAAAGTGCTGGGATTACAGGCGTGAGCCACCGCGCCCGGCCTGCTTTATTCTTCATAAGATCTTCCACCCATCCCAACTGACCTGTTCTGTGTTCCATGCACCCTTGTCTAATTG
Source organism: Homo sapiens (assembly GCF_000001405.40). Classification (NCBI taxonomy): domain Eukaryota; kingdom Metazoa; phylum Chordata; class Mammalia; order Primates; family Hominidae; genus Homo; species Homo sapiens. The sequence goes on from NC_000005.10 coordinate 180,723,949, forward strand.
TCAAGCACCAATCACATAATCAAATCCCTCGGTGAGGTGAAAAATAGTAGAATTGCTTACACTAAAGGCAGAAACTTACCTAAAATAGAATGAATACAGTGATCATCTCCAGGCCCTAAATTTGGGGAAATCCAGGCTGCAGACAGAGACCCAAAGAGGTGGCCAGGTGTGGAGAAGGAAGTGACTCACTGCTGCACTGACAGATATTCATCCTGTTGATCTGGTGCTGAAAGAGGGGGCCTGCCCTCCCCTCTCCTGTCCCCATCGTCTCCTCGGACTGTTTTCCATCTCACAGCTACATGGATATTTGTTTTACTCTTACTATATCTGGATAAAAATAAGCAACAAAAGATTGAGAGTTGTATTTCCCACGAATCTATGCCCACGAAGAAATACTCTGTTTCAAGTTAGTAATAGCAATTTCCATGGCTGGTCACCTGGAGGGGGAAGGTGGATTTTGATATTAAGGTTAATTCATGGCTTTCTACACACACTGTAAAAGATAAGGCTGAACTCTTAGAGATTCCCACCTCAGTTTGCCCCCTTTTATGGTGGACACAATAACTAAAAGATGTATACTACTTTATACTCTAGAATCTTCACGTAGTGAGCTCGTTTAACCCTTGAAGTGACTCAGTTCTATACAGAACCAAAAGAAAAGATAGGGGGAGGAATCGTGGCTGATATCAGTGATTCCCACACGTGTGCATTAGAATCAGCAGAGGGTTTGTTAAAGCACAGATGACTGTCCCCCTTCCCGCAGAGTCTCTGATTGAAGAGGTCAGGCTGGGGTCCAAGAGTTCAAATTTCTAACAAGTTCCTGGGAGCTGGTGATGCTGCTGGTTGGGGACCCCTGAGACAATGGCCTCCTTTGGGACACTCTGAAAACCACTGTCTTATCTTGTTATTCTTCCAAGAGTACCTTCATGTTATCATTCATTGAATAGCCATTCAATTAAGGAAATATTAAGGTGTTTCCTTCATGAAATATTTAATAAGCAAATTGGTGAAGGAATTATGATAATGATCTTACAATGTTCAGTAGAAGGACATGAAGCAGTTGACGGCAAACCTTAGCTCCCGCGACCTGAATAATGCCCGGCTTGTACACCATACCGACCTCACACGCCCAGGCTGCCTCCTTCATCCCTCACTGCCTGTTCCGAGTGAAAATTGGCGTCAGTCTAAATAAACTAAGTTGTGAATGGATACTTACAAGCATGCACATTTTTGCACATAATGTACATATGCACATATTTGCATAGGATGTGGTGTGGGAGCATGGTTATTGCTAAAGACCACAGGAAAACAGATTATATTAAATGTAGTTTAATAGGTTAAAATTAAGTATAAGGCTCAAACAACTTTTCAGTAAAGATACTTGTATATGAAGAAGATTTTTCTCATTTACTTCTTCCTTTTTCAGATGTTAGAGGTGGGTCTGATGAAAACAAAATTGAAAGATTGAAATGCCATCTAAGTCCAGTTAGATTCACACTGAACAAACAATACTTCTGGCATTTGTTTTCTGTTCACAAAGTATACCCTCAGCTCTGGCCTACTATCTCACCCCAGTGTGCAAGAATCAGAAAAGGAACTTATAAATAAATGTAGATAACTACTGGAAATTCAACTCAACAAGCATAAATAGAGCATATAACATCATACCATAAAGTCAGTGTTTCCCCCTTCTATTACATAAATCATTCAAAAGCCGCAAGGAGAATTAAAATCAGAAGTTGAATTTCCATTTTCAGAGAAACTGAGAATTATCTAAAACTCCAAACCACAAAATGTCGAGGACGGTGAACCAGGTGGGAATTGAGCACTGGTGTGAGATGAAGTGGAAGAGGTTGCTTGGAAAGATGACTCTGCAGCTACAGAGCTCAGAAAGACACAGCAGAAGATACTTCTCAAAGCACACCCTTGGGTCGAAAACTATCTCTCTTATTTCAGTGGAGGTGACCACAGGTATCGGCTGGTGGCAAATTTGATTTTGGAAAGCTGAAGAACAGGCCAAATAAGGAATCATATGAATAGGTCATATTTCTAAAGAGTGGCTGGCCTCATATCAGATGAGGA